>NC_000009.12:98372067-98523582 GCF_000001405.40 Homo sapiens | reverse complement strand
TATCCACATCCCCACAGGTCAGAGAGGGTTCCTCTTAGAGCTCTACTCCCAAATGGTCCTGTTATTCCATTTTGCTACGTAATAGAGCTACACGTTTATCCTCCTTCTTAAAGCAGCTACTTGATTGCTTGAGGCCGTGGGGGAGGTCTACTTGCTTCTCCTTTAAAGATTACTCATCTTTTCAGACATTTCTCTTGCTAAAGAAGATAGCAGAAAAACACAAGTTAAGTCTTCAGTAGAGCATCCCATTATCTTGTTTTTTAACCAAAGGACCAGCTCTTGGATTCTTACTGGCTGTGCTTTGATTTATCTACTTCTTAATTTATTTTCTTCTGCTTTTCTCCTGAATAATACCTTCCCTTTATATGTAGGTTTCTTTCACCATTCTTCTTCTAATTTCTTAATTTGCATATTTATTTTTTACTCTTGTTTTGGTTGCTATTAAGCGTAGTTAAGCATATAAATGTCTTTGATTACAGCTTTGATGAAATCCTATAGTTTCAGCTAAATAATATCTCATCCTCATTATAATAAAACTATGCTACAATTGTACTTTAAGTTTAAAATATCGGTCTTCTACTTCCCTAAGTGCCAACCTAGAAATGCAACAATATCTATTGTAAGTTACATAAATCAGTACACTTGTTTACTCTCCATCCCTCACTGCCTCTAATTCTGTATTGTTATAATCTGAGTTTTAATTTGATTTTACTCTTTACATTGTGGATATGCTTTTTTCAGTTGCTATTTGAGATGTTCACTTTATTTTGAAACTATACTACAATAACTATGATTTTAAGATTCAAATCCATATTTACATGACTAATTTCTTCTGACATGAGTCAGTTTCATGAGTTATGTCTTTTGATTTATCTCTCTGTGGCATGAGTACATCTTTTGTTTTTCAGGAAGGTCATATGAGTTTTATATCTATGCCCTTGCATAAATCACAATTTCTCTCTGTAGCTTTGCCTATGAATGACAAGTTATCTAAGTATAAATTTCTATGATCATAAGCTCTCTAGACATTACATCAATGTTGTAATAAAGTCTGATGCAGTCTGATTTGGTTCCTTTGGAGATAAAGTTTTTTAGTCGCCTGTACCAGTTGCTTGTAGGATTCTTTCTTTATTTTTGATACTCATAAAGAAAAAATGGCACATAGCTGATTTTTGTTTTGTCTAAAATATGATTACATTTTTATTCGAAGAATCTGGTCTTTCTTCTGATTGCATTAGTTTTCTTTTATTATATCTTTAATTATTACTCTTTTGTTCTGATATCTTTTTTAGAAATATCAATAATTCATGAGTGAGCCTTTGTAGTTTATTCTCCATATTTTTGTTTTCTCTCTGGTCATTTTAATCTTAGTCCTTTTCCTTCACATTGTGAGAGAACATCTCAAGACTGTCCTCCACAATATTCATCAGTTTTTTTTTACAATTAAATTCTGCTCCTTGTTGCTTCTAATGCTTCTTAAAATTCTCATAACATTATTCATTTCCAGTCATTATTATATTAACTATGCCTGGTTTCTTTTATCTCAGTTTCTTTTCTCATATATTTTATTTTTTAGATTTAGAATCCAGATTTTATTTAACCTCCATGAAATACAAAATGGGTATTACAATTTACCTTTATTTCCTACAGCAATTCTTTTTAGAGATGATATTCTTTCTTTGCTTGAATTCCTTGTTTGTTTCCTTTATGTTTCAGAAAGTTTTCATAGGTTCCATATGCATTTTATGCCTTCTATGACCTGGTATTCGCTTACAGCATGGGTGAGTTCTTCTTGAGTCCCCTCATTGTTTTATCTAGATGCTGTTAGATTCTTCACCTTGGATATTCATCTGGAAGACTGGATGATAACATTTTATATGACCAGCCTAGGGACAAGCAGCCAAGGGATTAGGAAACCATTTGGTGGTGTGGGCCTTTCTTGTTTAAATGGTTTCTTCATGAGTTTGTCAAACAGCTGCTCCAGATGTGCAGAGATCCCCCTGGCCTCTGACTTTGTTTACTTGCCTGCTGTGTCTGCAAGGTGCCTAGGCCTGTCCTGGGGAAACTGGACTTCAATAGGCTTTGCTTGTTCGTAGATCTAATGACCCAGCCACTCCTGAAGGCTGTTGGGTTGCAGGGTGATAGGTGGACTCCTTAGTGAGAGGTAGGCCCTGCACCCTTCTGTGGCCCAGCCTCCCCTCCAGTACTTACTCACCCATCAGAGGCTGTGAGGTCAGTCTCGTCAGCACATCCACCCTCCCTGCAGCACCGCACTACTTTCTCAGGAAGGAGAGCCATGAGTCAGTCTTCAATCTGGTTCTGTTGGCACTGTACCTAGCAGAAATTCCTCAAAGTTGGTGGCATATTGATGGCACTCTTTCCTATTTTCCAAGGCTGAAGCAGATTCCCCCCTATTTTTATATTCCCTTGGTCCTTTCTGTCACTTTCAGAAGGAGGTAGCTTAGGTGGGAGTTGGACATCTGTGCTTAGCTTTACCATCTTTCTCAAAAGTTTCATAGTTAACATTGTTTCCTATACTTTGTACTTTGGTATATAGACATATGAGATTCCCTGAGCATTTCCTGTTCCATGGCCCCCCTTTTAAAATTCCTCATTTATATTGGCTTTCTTCATATCTGGTTTTATAGTTTTTCCTGGGCACTTTTCCTCTCCTTCTCAAGTTCCAGTTTAGCATCCTCTCGATCAGATGGAGAATTCTCCTGCCAAACATGGTGTTGCCAGTCTTGGGGCAGTGAGTTCTGTCCCTTGCCAGGGACTCATCATCTGGCGTCCTGAGCCACATCCTGGCCTTCAGCAATATTGATGGAGTTTCCCCACATCCTCCCTTCTCTGCCAAAGTTATGCCCTTTAAGTGGAAACAGAAGAAACCATTCCCCTGCCTCCAAGTTTCCATCCCCTTTGAAAGCCTTGTGCTTCACTAGAGAGCCATTTTGGATTTCTTCTGGCATACCCAGACCCTCCTGGGTGAGTCAGCAGACGTGGGCAGCAGGCGTTGTGGGGAGGGGGTTGCAGAGGCTCCTCCATCACTGCTTGGCTGCCTGCCCCAGGAAGACAGCACATCACACAATTTGCCATATCAAGTCTGTGAACAGCTGCCTCCCTACCCTCCGTGGGGAGTCACCAAGCTCCACACATCTGCTCCTTCCGGGGGTGGTGAAAAGATTTCTCCCATCACAGGCACCTATGAATCCCCCTTGGGGTTTCGTGAGGTATAGAGTAGCATTCTCCTGCAGAAAGCCCATAGCCAGCCTTCATGAGAAGATATACCTTTCAGGATTTAGTATCAGTGGCATCACCATCACTTCCTCTCCTTCCCCCAATCCCATGGCATGTTTTCCACACCTCCCCTTCTTGACTTTGTCATTTCTGATAATGAACACTGCCATTTATTGAACCTTAGCCATGGTAGACACTTAGCGTATATTAGCTTACCTTTTCAAGAACTCAAAGACAAGTTGTGGTTATGCCCTTTTAACAGACAAGAAAAAAAGCTCAGAGAGTTTCCTTACTCACCCAAGGTAGCCCAGCAGTGGGGACATAGCTAGCATGCTAGTCTAGAGTCACCTGACTCGAGTTCATGCTTTTGCCTCTCTCCCACAGCCTTCCTAGAGGGAAAAATAGAACCATAGGCTCTTTATCCTGAGTCTAGAACAGGGGTTTGCAAACTGTGGCCTATGGACCAAATGCAGCCCCTTGTTTTCATAAATAAAGTTTTATTGGAACATAGCCACACCCATTCATTTGCACATTGTGTATGGCTGCATTTGCAACGTTGTTGGGAAAAAACATGTAAGTCCTGCAAGGCCTAAAGTATTTACTATCTGACCCTTTACCAAAAAAAAAAAAAAAAAGTTGCCGGCTCCTAGTTTCCAGCATAGGCTATTGTAGAAAGAGATAGACTTTGAAGTTGAATCCCAGGCTCCCTACATCCTAGCTGTGTGACCTTGGGCAGTTGACTCAACAGCTCTGAATCTCATTTTATTTACCCATAAACTGGTCATAATTGTACCTTTTGGGTTTACACCCATGCCCGCAAGGAGTGATATACGTTTGAGGGCTCCACATATGACAGGCACTCAGTAAATGAGTCCCCACTGTTGCTCCGGCCTTTCCCGTCTATCACGGATGTGCAGACTTCTCTAATTTTTCTCTTCCCTTCTGGAGCATTCTGGCAGTTCTGCCTAAGAACCCTTGCTCTTCTCTGATCACTGGAGCACAGAGAAAGCACAGATGCTCCTCAAGCCTCCCCCTTGAAACGCTGGGCACCAGGTGTTAAGTGACACCCACCTCAGGCAGATGCATAGGGTGTCCTGTGGTCTCATTCATTCCCTCATTCAGCCAGTGCTGACTGAGCCAGGCCATTATGCCAAAATCTGACAGGGGCTCAGACAGAGCCTTCAGGCCCTTCAGTTGCTCACAGCCCAGGGGCAGATGGACAGATTAACAAGCCGCAGCAATAACAGTAATCTTGGTGCCTCTAGATTTTGGTCCCCTTTGGAAAATTCCATTCAGACTCTACAGAGTAAATACCTGTTCCCTGGAGTCTCTGAGTACTGCTCGTAAGAAGATACATTATAAAATCTGCTTAGTTTAGCACAGTTTCAGACCCTGCTCCCAGGCTGGCAGCCTGCTCAGCACTTTGGTGCAGTGTCCACCCCAAGACACAGTCGGCTCACCTAGACCACCGCTCCCTCCCAGGGCACACACTCAGCACCTCTACAGGATGGGGCTGGCTCCATGGGCTTCGTGGGAGGGGAAGCGCAGACTGTCTTTCCTGACCTTGAGGGAGCTGTCCAGAGTTTAGATCCTCTCCATACATGAGCAACCCAGCATCCTCCCCCAGACACCTGGGCTGGCTGTGGGGCTGAGGGGACCTCATGCTCTGTGCTGCTGTAGTGGATTCTCTGGGCTGTTGATCACTGAAGATCGTCCCAGTTACTCCAGAGCAGGGCCGAGAAAGCAGGGCCTGGGAGGAAGAAGCAGGGGATGCCAGTGTTCACAAGGGGTGAGTGCATCTCATTGGAGAATCCAGAAGGACTTCATGGAGGAAGGGCTATTTACCATAGGGCTTAAAGGGTAAGCAGGACTTAGACATAGGAGGGCTGAAGTCCGAAACTTAAGGGGATTCGCGCATGCATGGTCAGTGGTGAAATGAATTACAAAGTGTATCTTATAATCTTAGGTGAAAACATATGGATATAAAAAATTATACTTTGATAATTTCTACCTGAAAAACTTATATCTACAGTATTAGCGTCCTGGCAAGAAACAGACGGCATCTTCAGAGCTGAAGTCCGATTTAGATGAAGTACTTTAGGCAGAGGCAATGGAACCAACCAGGGCTACTGCAGCTCCAGGGGCTAGCAATGGCTGGAGTCACGAGCATCAACTGCTCTGGAGGACAAGGGGAGGGGCAGAGCTACTGGAATTGGGAGGAGCAGCCGCTTCACACGGGCTCTAACCAAGCCAGGAAGCAGCCAAGGTAAAAAATACCCGGAACTCTTTCTCGCCTTCTTTCTGACTCCTCCTGGGGCCTCCCATTGGCTCTCTTTCACTGAGCTCCCATAGGCTCCCTAACTCCTACTGGGCTCCCATTGGCCCTCTGACTCCTGCTAGGCTCTCACTGGTCCTCTGACTCCTGCTAGGCTCTCACTGGTCCTCTGACTCCCTCTGGACTCTCACTGGTCTTCTGACTCCTGCTGGGCTCCCATTGGCCCTCTGACTCCCACTGGGTTCTCATTGGTCTTCTGACTCCTGCCGGGCTCCCATTGGCCAAGCCCAGCTGGAAGTTAGAGGACCAGGCCACTCACGTGCTGCCCTATCTGAAAGTTCTAATTCCATGAAAAAAGCAGGGCAGGGCAGGGCAGGCTGGCGCATGTGGATGAAAGCAAATGGGAATAACCAACATGATGAGATATTATACTAGTTGGATTAGTGTACTGGGCACAGGGATAGTTTTATCACTTTACTCCTTTCCTCACTTACAATGAAGTTTAGACATTATTTTGAAAAGCTTAAAGTCTTTGAGTCACTATGAGGGTTCTACAGCAAGCAGCTGCGTTTCGGGCTCTCAGCAGGCAATATTGTCATCTGATAACTTGGTGGCAATGTAGTGGTTTGGTCCAAGCTGACACATATGTGGGTGGAGGGCGAGCCTGTTCAAGGTCAGTTTCGCCAGGAGAGGGACTCTCTTGGGGCTCAGCATACAGGAGATTTGTTAGCCAGTGCCCACAGGAAGGGGTGGGAAAGGTGGGACTGGGTGAAGGAAGAAGCTGACACACAATGAGGTTGCAAAAGGAACCTCAGCCAAGCTTGCCCATGGGGAGCTATGGAGCTAGGATGGCCCTTCAGAGAAGTCCCAAATAGAGACCAGAAGGCTGGGCCAGTCACTGGGTGCAGGCGGTCCTGGGGAAGGTGTGTGACCTTGAATGAGGCTGCCTCCTTTATTCAAGGGCAAATCCGGAATGAGTGCCTCTGTTCTGGCAGTGCACCGTAGTATCTCCATCAGAGG
Source organism: Homo sapiens (assembly GCF_000001405.40). NCBI lineage: Eukaryota > Metazoa > Chordata > Mammalia > Primates > Hominidae > Homo > Homo sapiens. The sequence goes on along the minus strand of NC_000009.12, from coordinate 98,517,050 downwards.
GCCCTTAGGAACAAAGGAGTTTAAGCTAAAGGGCCACTCAGACTGGAGCACACTAAAAGGGTGTCTCTCAAATCTGGTCGTGCAACCAAGATCTCACAGCATTTTGTGCAAACACAGATTGCTGGCCTCCCTCCTGTACCAGTGTCTGAATCGCTCTGTTGGGGCCCAGGAATCTGTATTTCTACAAAGCTCCTGGGAAGATGCAGATGCATAAGCATCCTTGGAAGCTGCTGCCCTAAACTCTGAGCCCAAGGGTGGTTGATATCGGGGAGATTTCCAGGTCTGTTTAGCGCTACCAGGCAACTGCTCTGTGCCAAGCCTTGTGCTGGGTCCTGGAACCCAGGAGCTAGGAGCCAGGATCACCAAAGATGGTGCCACCCTCGGGGTCAGGAATGGGGCTGGGTACTGCGTGGGAGCAGCGCCTGTCTTGGATTTTGGAAAGGGTCCTGAAAGGTCTGCAACTGGTGGCTCTCTTGGGGGCTTAGTGTTCTGTTGCTGCCGTTAAATAAATGGCTTTGGGCAATATTGGTCTAGAGGCAAGAAACTGGGTTTGAGTCCCAGCTCCGTGCCTAGAAAGTTGTGTGATTTGGGGCAAGTTTCTATTCTTCTTGGGACTTCAGTTTCCCCAGCTGTCCAATGAGGGCTGGTGAGTTGGTGTGTGGCAGCCTGGTTCTGATGGTCTGAGCTCAGCCTCTCTCAGACATGAGGAGTGGGCCTGAGAGTGTCAGCACTCACTCTGCCTGCTGGACAGAGGGCTCCCTTTGCAGACCTTGGGGCCAGGAGGTGAAGGTGGAGTGCATCCTCAGTGTTCTTGTCTCCTTCTTTTATTACCATTCTCTGATTGTGATGCCCTTGCTTCCTGGATATGTCCAGTTCTGCCATGCTTCTCTTTCCCGTGTGTCCTAATCGCTTGCTTTTTGCCAGGCTTTATATCCAGCATGGATACACAGAGAGGCCCCAACACAGTCTCAACTCCCCAGGGCCTGCCAGTCTAGAGAGGGATGCTCAAGGAGGAAAGCCACTCACTGGGTCCTCTCCCTGCAGGAACCACCTAGGGGCCAGGCCAGTGCCACCACCCAAGCTCTTCCTCTCTTCTTCCTCTACTCTCCCCTCCTGGATGTTTGGAAGTCAGAGAGACATGAGTATCAGTCTTGACCCTCTGACTTACTACTTGTAAGGCTTTGGGCAAGTGACTTAATCTTTCAAGTCCCTCATTTGTGAAATGGAAACAAGAATGGGATCTGCTTTGTAAGATTGTTGAGGATGAAATTCACTCCAGAGTCAATCCTGGTGTGTCGCCTGTGGCCCCCTTCCTCCCTGAGGGCTTGGAGTGAGGGATGGGGGTGGGAGAGGGGGAGTGGAGGGAAGGGAAGGAGGAGAGGTGGGCTCTGGGAGCAGTTTGCACCTATGCCTTTTGCTGTCTGTGCCAAGGCGAGTCCCAGCCCTTCAGTTCCTCACCTCATTCCACACCCCAAATCTGAAGCCCTAGAAGAAGGGAGCCAGTGGAAGCCAAGAAAGGGGGTTTGCAAATGCTAGGGGCTTAGGATGTTAGAGCAGAACATAAGTTGAGGACAAATCACCCACTTTGGAATCCAGAACTGGAAAGAAAGCTGCTAATAAAAAGTGCAGTGATTTCCCAGGGTCTCAGAAAAGAGTCCTTTAAACTCCACCTTGAAGTGCAAAGGTGGACAATTTGATCGCACTGCTCGTCCAGCTTATGGAGCGGCCTGAAGCTGTCCTATTTCTGCAGGGGTGAGAACAGGTACCACCTAGGCAGCTCCCCATGGGCAAGTTTGGCTGAGGCCTCTCTTGCAACTTCTCAGGTTTGAGAATTTGAGACGTTCCTTGGAGATGCAGCAGTCTCGTCTGCCCCTCCATCTGATGCCTGAATCCCTTCTACAGCCTGTGCAACCCACCTCTGCTTGCACACCTGTCATGGCGGGGAGCTCAGTCCCACCTGGGGAAGGGTCCATCCTTCCTTGGCTCATTCTCTTGTTAGAAAGTTCTGTCTCTGAGGGAGCTGAAATCTACTTCCTGGTGGCCTCCCCCACTGGAACTGGCCCTTTCCCTGAGGCCCAGGTGCCACGCCAGTCCCCTGGGTTTGGTGGCAGTTCTTCAGGGATGCACGAAGTGATATCTCACAAGCCTAGACTTCCCCATGTGGCCGCCTGCCATCCCCTCCACCATTCTTCAAGAGACAAGAGCAGGGATGGGGCTCAGACAGCCAGGGAATGGTTTTTTAATTATTATTATTATACTTTAAGTTTTAGGGTACATGTGCACAACGTGCAGATTTGTTACATATATATACATGTGCCATGTTGGTGTGCTGCACCCATTAACTCGTCATTTAGCATTAGGTATATCTCCTAATGCTATCCCTCCCCCCTCCCCCCACCCTACAACAGTCCCCGGTGTGTGACGTTCCCCTTCCTGTGTCCATGTGTTCTCATTGTTCAATTCCCACCTATGAGTGAGAACATGCTGTGTTTGTTTTTTTGTCCTTGCGATAGTTTGCTGAGAATGGTGGTTTCCAGATTCATCCATGTCCCTGCAAAGGACATGAACTCATCATTTTTTATGGCTGCATAGTATTCCATGGTGTGTATGTGCCACATTTTCTTTTTTATTATTATTATTATTATTATTATACTTTAAGTTTTAGGGTACATGTGCACATTGTGCAGGTTAGTTACATATGTATACATGTGCCGTGCTGGTGTGCTGCACCCACTAACTCGTCATCTAGCATTAGGTATATCTCCCAATGCTATCCCTCTCCCCTCCCCCTACCCCACAACAGTCCCCAGAGTGTGATATTCCCCTTCCTGTGTCCATGTGATCTCATTGTTCAATTCCCACCTATGAGTGAGAATATGCGGTGTTTGGTTTTTTGTTCTTGCGATAGTTTACTGAGAATGATGATTTCCAATTTCATCCATGTCCCTACAAAGGACATGAACTCATCATTTTTTATAGCTGCATAGTATTCCATGGTGTATATGTGCCACATTTTCTTAATCCAGTCTATCGTTGGATATTTAGGTTGGTTCCAAGTCTTTGCTATTGTGAATAGTCCCGCAATAAACACATGTGTGCATGTGTCTTTATAGCAGCATGATTTATAGTCCTGTGGGTATATACCCAGTAATAGGATGGCTGGGTCAAATGGTATTTCTACTTCTAGATCCCTGAGGAATCGCCGCACTGACTTCCACAATGGTTGAACTAGTTTACAGTCCCACCAACAGTGTAAAAGTGTTCCTATTTCTCCACATCCTCTCCAGCACCTGTTGTTTCCTGACTTTTTAATGATCGCCATTCTAACTGGTGTGAGATGGTATCTCATTGTGGTTTTGATTTGCACTTCTCTGATGGCCAGTGATGATGAGCATTTTTTCATGTGTTTTTTGGCTGCATAAATGTCTTCTTTTGAGAAGTGTCTGTTCATATCCTTCGCCCACTTTTTGATGGGGTTGTTTGTTTTTTTTTTGTAAAATTGTTTGAGTTCATTGTAGATTCTGGATATTAACCCTTTGTCAGATGAGTAGGTTGCAAAAATTTTCTCCCATTCTGTAGGTTGCCTGTTCACTCTGATGGTAGTTTCTTTTGCTGTGCAGAAGTTCTTTAGTTTAATTAGATCCCATTTGTCAATTTTGGCTTTTGTTGCCATTGCTTTTGGTGTTTTAGACATGAAGTCCTTGCCCATGCCTATGTCCTGAATCTTATTGCCTAGGTTTTCTTCTAGGGTTTTTATGGTTTTAGGTCTAACATTTAAGTCTTTAATCCATCTTGAATTAATTTTTGTATAAGGTGTAAGGAAGGGATCCAGTTTCAGCTTTCTACATATGGCTAGCCAGTTTTCCCAGCACCATTTATTAAATAGGGAATCCTTTCCCCATTGATTGTTTTTGTCAGGTTTGTCAAAGATCAGATAGTTGTAGATGTGTGGCATTATTTCTGAGGGCTCTGTTCTGTTCCATTGGTCTATATCTCTGTTTTGGTACCAGTACCATGCTGTTTTGGTTACTGTAGCCTTGTAGTATAGTTTGAAGTCAGGTAGCGTGATGCCTCCAGCTTTGTTCTTTTGGCTTAGGATTGACTTGGTGATGCGGGCTCTTTTTTGGTTCCATATGAACTTTAAAGTAGTTTTCTCCAATTCTGTGAAGAAAGTCATTGGTAGCTTGATGAGGATGGCATTGAATCTATAAATTACCTTGGGCAGTGTGGCCATTTGCACGATATTGATTCTTCCTACCCATGAGCATGGAATGTTCTTCCATTTGTTTGTATCCTGTTTTATTTCATTGAGCAGTGGTTTGTAGTTCTCCTTGAAGAGGTCCTTCACATCCCTTGTAAGTTGGATTCCTAGGTATTTTATTCTCTTTGAAGCAATTGTGAATGGGAATTCACTCATGATTTGGCTCTCTGTTTGTCTGTTATTGGTGTATAAGAATGCTTGTGATTTTTGTACATTGATTTTGTATCCTGAGACTTTGCTGAAGTTGCTGATCAGCTTGAGATTTTGGGCTGAGACGATGGGGTTTTCTAGATATACAATCATGTCATCTGCAAACAGGGACAATTTGACTTCCTCTTTTCCTAATTGAATACCCTTTATTTCCTTCTCCTGCCTAATTGCCCTGGCCAGCACTTCCAACACTATGTTGAATAGGAGTGGTGAGAGAGGGCATCCCTGTCTTGTGCCCGTTTTCAAAGGGAATGCTTCCAGTTTTTGCCCATTCAATATGATATTGGCTGTGGGTTTGTCATAGATAGCTCTTATTATTTTGAGATACGTCCCATCAATACCTAATTTATTGAGAGTTTTTAGCATGAAGGGCTGTTGAATTTTGTCAAAGGCCTTTTCTGCATCTATTGAGATAATCATGTGGTTTTTGTCTTTGGTTCTGTTTATATGCTGGATTACATTTATTGATTTTCATATGTTGAACCAGCCTTGCATCCCAGGGATGAAGCCCACTTGATCATGGTGGATAAGCTTTTTGATGTGCTGCTGGATTTGGTTTGCCAGTATTTTATTGAGGATTTCTGCATCGATGTTCATGAAGGATATTGGTCTAAAATTCTCTTTTTTGGTTGTGTCTCTACCAGGCTTTGGTATCAGGATGATGTTGGCCTCATAAAATGAGTTAGGGAGGATTCCCTCTTTTTCTATTGATTGGAATAGTTTTAGAAGGAATGGTACCAGTTCCTCCTTGTACCTCTGGTAGAATTCGGCTGTGAATCCATCTGGTCCTGGAATTTTTTTGGTTGGTAATCTATTGATTATTGCCTCAATTTCAGAGCCTGTTATTGGTCTATTCAGAGATTCAATTTCTTCCTGGTTTAGTCTTGGGAGGATGTATGTGTCGAGGTATTTATCCATTTCTTCTAGATTTTCTAGTTTATTTGCATAGAGGTGTTTATAGTATTCTCTGATGGTAGTTTGTATTTCTATGGGATCGGTGGTGATATCCCCTTTATCATTTTTTATTGTGTCTATTTGATTCTTCTCTCTTTTCTTCTTTATTAGTCTTGCTAGCGGTGTATCAATTTTGTTGATCTTTTCAAAAAAACCAGCTCCTGGATTCATTAATTTTTTGAAGGATTTTTTGTGTCTCTATCTCCTTCAGTTCTGCTCTGATCTTAGTTATTTCTTGCCTTCTGCTAGCTTTTGAATGTGTTTGCTCTTGCTTTTCTAGTTCTTTTAATTGTGATGTTAGGGTGTCAATTTTAGATCTTTCCTGCTTTCTCTTGTGGGCATTTAGTGCTATAAATTTCCCTCTACACACTGCTTTGAATGTGTCCCAGAGATTCTGGTATGTTGTGTCTTTGTTCTCGTTGGTTTCAAAGAACATCTTTATTTCTGCCTTCATTTCATTATGTACCCAGTAGTCATTGAGGTGCAGGTTGTTCAGTTTCCATGTAGTTGTGCAGTTTTGAGTGAGTTTCTTAATCCTGAGTTCTAGTTTGATTGCACTGTGGTCTGAGAGGCAGTTTGTTATAACTTCTGTTCTTTTACATTTGCTGAGGAGTGCTTTACTTCCAACTATGTGGTCAATTTTGGAATAGGTGTGGTGTGGTGCTGAAAAGAATGTATATTCTGTTGATTTGGGGTGGAGAGTTCTGTAGATGTCTATTAGGTCTGCTTGGTGCAGAGCTGAGTTCAAGTCCTGGGTATCCTCGTTGATCTTTCTAATGTTGACAGTGGGGTGTTAAAGTCTCCCATTATTATTGTGTGGGAGTCTAACTCTCTTTGTAGGTCACTCAGGACTTGCTTTATGAATCTGGGTGCTCCTGTATTGGGTGCATATATATTTAGGATAGTTAGCTCTTCTTGTTGAATTGATCCCTTTACCATTATGTAATGGCCTTCTTTGTCTCTTTTGATCTTTGTTGGTTTACAGTCTGTTTTATCAGAGACTAGGATTGCAACCCCTGCCTTTTTTTGTTTTCCGTTTGCTTGGTAGATCTTCCTCCATCCCTTTATTTTGAGCCTATGTGTGTCTCTGCACATGAGATGGGTTTCCTGAATACAGCACACTGATGGGTCTTGACTCTTTATCCAATTTGCCAGTCTGTGTCTTTTAATTGGAGCATTTAGCCCATTTACATTTAAAATTAATATTGTTATGTGTGAATTTGATCCTCTCATTATGATGTTAGTTGTTTATTTTGCTCGTTAGTTGATGCAGTTTCTTCCTAGCCTTGATGGTCTTTACAATTTGGCATGTTTTTGCAGTGGCTGGTACCAGTTGTTCCTTTCCATGTTTAGTGCTTCCTTCAGGAGCTCTTTTAGGGCAGGCCTGGTGGTGACAAAATCTCTCAGCATTTGCTTGTCTGGAAAGGATTTTATTTCTTCTTCACTTATGAAGCTTAGTTTGGCTGGATATGAAATTCTGGGTTGAAAATTCTTTTCTTTAAGAATGTTGAATATTGGTCCCCACTCTCTTCTGGCTTGTAGAGTTTCTGCTGAGAGATCAGCTGTTAGTCTGATGGACTTCCCTTTGTGGGTAACCCGACCTTTCTCTCTGGCTGCTCTTAGTATTTCTTCCTTCATTTCAACTTTGGTGAATCTGACAATTATGTGTCTTGGAGTTGCTCTTCTCGAGGAGTATCTTTGTGGCATTCTCTGTATTTCCTGAATTTGAATGTTGGCCTGCCTTGCTAGATTGGGGAAGTTCTCCTGGATAATATCCTGCAGAGTGTTTTCCAACTTGGTTCCATTCTCCCCGTCACTTTCAGGTACACCAATCAGACATAGATCTGGTCTTTTCACATAGTCCCATATTTCTTGGAGACTTTGTTCATTTCTTTTTATTCTTTTTTCTCTAAACTTCTCTTCTCACTTCATTTCATTCATTTCATCTTCCATCCCTGATACCCTTTCTTCCAGTTGATCGCATTGGCTACTGAGGTTTGTGCATTCGTCACGTAGCTCTCGTGCCTTGGTTTTCAGCTCCATCAGGTCCTTTAAGGACTTCTCTGCATTGGTTATTCTAGTTATCCATTCGTCTAATTTTTTTTCAAAGCTTTTAACTTCTTTGCCATTGGTTCGAATTTCCTCCTGTAGCTCGGAGTAGTTTGATCATCTGAAGTCTTCTTCTCTCAACTCGTCAAAGTCATTCTCCATCCAGCTTTGTTCTGTTGCTGGTGAGGAGCTGTGTTCCTTTGGAGGAGGAGAGGTGCTCTGATTTTTAGAGTTTCCAGTTTTTCTGCTCTGTTTTTTTCCCATCTTTGTGGTTTTATCTACCTTTGGTCTTTGATGATGGTGACGTACAGATGGGGTTTTTGGTGTGGCTTTCCTTTCTGTTTGTTAGTTTTCCTTCTAACGGACAGGACCCTCAGCTGCAGGTCTGTTGGAGTTTGCTAGAGGTCCACTCCAGATCCTGTTTGCCTGGGTATCAGCAGTGGTGGCTGCAGAACAATGGATATTGGAGAACCGCAAATGCTGCTGCCTGATTGTTCCTCTGGAAGTTTTGTCTCAGAGGAGTACCCAGTCGTGTGAGGTGTCAGTCTGCCCCTACTGGGGTGTGCCTCCCAGTTAGGCTACTCGGGAGTCAGGGACCCACTTGAGGAGGCAGTCTGCCCATTGTCACATCTCCAGCTGCATGCTGGGAGAACCACTACTCTCTTCAAAGCTGTCAGACAGGGACATTTAAGTCTGCAGAGGTTACTGCTGTCTTTTTGTTTGTCTGTGCCCTGCCCCCAGAGGTGGAGCCTACAGAGGCAGGCAGGCCTCCTTGAGCTGTGGTGGGCTCCACCCAGTTGGAGTTTCCTGCCGCTTTGTTTACCTAATCAAACAACTAACTCAGCAGTGGCGGGCGCCCCTCCCCCAGCCTCGCTGTTGCCTTGCAGCTTGATCTCGGACTGCTGTGCTAGCAATGAGCGAGACTTCATGGGCGTAGGACCCTCCGAGCCATGCGCGGGATATAATCTCCTGGTGCGCCATTTTTTAAGCCCGTTGGAAAAGCGCAGTATTAGGGTGGGAGTGACCCAATTTTCCAGGTGCCGTCTGTTACCCCTTTCTTTGACTAGGAAAGGGAATTCCCTGACTCCTTGCGCTTCCCTGGTGAGGCGATGCCTTGCCCTGCTTTGGCTCGCGCACGGTGCGCTGCACCCACTGTCCTGCACTTACTGTCTGGCACTCCCCAGTGAGATGAACCCGGTACTTCAGTTGGAAATGCAGAAATCACCCATCTTCTGCATCGCTCACGCTGGGAACTGTAGACCGGAGCTGTTCCTATTCGGCCATCTTGGCTCCTCCTCCCCAGGGAATGGTTTTGAAGTGGGCTTGCTTTGGTGCTCTCAGGTGTGATTTCTTAATATCCGTCTTCTAGTTTGGTGTCAGAGGCTCACTTTGCATATTGCTGATTTCCTATAGAAGTTTCTATTCATCACCTTAACTATATAGCCTCCCTGTTTTATTAATACCCAGTGTTTTTGTAAACATTGGTTTGGTCCCTCGAGTCTGGAACAATTAAAGCAATGGGCAGTTTGTCACAAGGAAAGCAATAAGGTCTGATGGCTAATTTCATTCCCCAACAGCTCAGCATAGCCTGACTTCACCGACTGCTCCTAGAGTGGGTGAGGTCCTTGAAAAATGAGGGCCAAAGGGAAGACTGATGGTTGGGGATGCCCAACAGGAAATTTTTGTGCATTATCCAAGAAAGGTGCTTGGACCTGGTCCTGCTTCCTCAGGCAGCCCCTGTGCTAGGCATCTGGAGGGGCAAGAGGTGTCCCAGATGGAAGGTGTGTGAGATATCAGGACATTCATTCTGTTTAGCCGAGAAGAGGGATCTTGAGCCCAGGACTGTGGAGTTCAGAGGATAAGTCACTGCTAGCCTGGGAACAAGGGAAGGCTTCAAACAGCATGTTGGCATTTCAAGATGTATGGGATCTCAGGGTGAAAGCTTATTGTATCAGTTTCCTGTTCTGCTGCAACAAATCATCATAAATTTAGTGGCTTTAAACAACACAAATTATTATCTTATAGTTCTGAAGATCAGAAGTTCAAAATCATTGGGTCAATATCAAGGTGTTCTTGATTTTGACTGGTTCCTTCTGGAGGCTTTAGGGGAGAATGTTTCCTTGCCTTTCCCACCTTCTAGATGCTGCCCGTGAGCCTTGGTTCCTGGCCTCTTCCTCCACTTTCAAAGCCAGCAGCAGAGCATCTTTGAACAAATTTCTTCCCTGACTCTGACTTTTCTACCTCCCTCCTTCCCTTATAAAGACCCTTGGGATCATGTTGGGCCACCAGGATAATCCCAGATGGTTGCTCCATCTTGACATCCTTAACTTCATCCTGTCTGCAAAGTCCCCTTTGCCACATAAGGTAACATATTTTAGGGATTTGGACATGGACATTGTTGGGGGAAGGGCATGACTCTATCCATCACTGATGATTCTTTGGAATTTCTAAAACTGAGAAATCAGTTTTCCATCAGCCTGGCTGATCGAAAGAGGGATTTGATTTGATTTGAAAGCCAGAGCAGCCCCAGTTGCCTTCTTGAAATTGGGCCGAGGGTGCGTTTCTCCCCTACAGTATGTGGTTCTGGGAGACAGGCCTCCGAGGAGCAGTGGTGGGCTGGGGAGAGGAGCAGCCTACAGCCTCCCTGCCCTCCCTCTGGAGGACTTTCATAGTGCAGTGATAGTGCTGACAGCTGGCATTGTGGGTTGGGTGTGAGGGCCTGTAGCTCTACCAGGTGGGATCTCTGCTCCCAATTGCCATGTAGGCCAGCTGGACTCCCAGCAGGTAGGAGCTGCCATGAGGTCTTGATGTGTGTAGCTGGGCAGGTCTCAGGTCACAGGTGCCTGACACTCTCTGCCATTGTGAGAGAGGCAGGGAACTGTCCCCAGGGAACTCCAGCTGCCCTCAGGCCCCATATGTCCCCACAGGGGTGCCCCCAGAGCACCACAGCTCTCCCCAGATTTCTTCCTTCATTGGGGCCCTGATAGAGTTCCAGCTAGCGCTGCCCCTGGGACTCACCCCTGTGTCTGCAGACTGGGTCTTCAGCCTCAGCATGCAGCCCAGCCCTTGCGAAGTTGCCTCATCCCTGCGAGACCAGCTCAAGATGGGTCTAGTGGGCTTGGAATATTAACCTCCTCCATCTAAGAGTGGGTGGCCATGGTGCAGCCTCAGCATGCACTCATCCATGCTCTCATTCACCACAATTCTGAGCACCTACTATATGCCAGGCACTACACAGGATCCTGAGATCAAAACAAACCAAGTGCTTCCCTCCTGGAGCTGACACGTCCATGGGGAAGAAAATGTTACAGCCCCCATACTCATGGTCATCTCTTTGCAAGTCAACTCAAAGTCAGTGATGCAGACTCCTGAGCCCTCCACTGAAGCTCCATGAGGCCAGCGCCCCTGTCCCAGGCACCCACATTTCCACGATGCACAGCGTATGGTCCTCCACTTGTTTCCCTGCTTTTGGTAATTCTGGAGATGTAAGAAATACCATATATCTTTGGGACAGACAAATGGTGCCATCAAATAGAGGGAAACTGGGGTTCCATTCCAGAGGCCTTGACATGTGATGTGAGCATCTAGATTGGATAGGAAGCCCAGGCTTCTCCATGGGAACCTGCCCCAGGTGTATTAGTTTCCTGTGGCTGCCGAAACAAATCGCCACAAACTAGGTGGCTTAAAACAACAGAAATGTATTGTCTCATAGTTCTGGAGGCCAGAGGTCCTAAATGAAGGTGTCAGCAGGCTTGCCCTGGAGTCTCTAGGAGAGAATCCTTGCCTGCATCTCCCAGCTTCTGGTGGCTCCAGGTGCTCCTTGCCGGCAGATGCATCACTCCACCCTCTGCCTCTGTCTTCACGTGGACTTCCCCTTCATGTCTCTGTGCCCCAAGTCTCCCTTTGCCTTTCTCTTATAAGAATCCTTAACATTGGATTTATCCAGGATGATCTCATCCCAAGATCCTTCAGTTAATTACGTCTGCAAAGACCCTTTTTCCAAATGAGGTCACATTCACAAGTTGTCAGGGTTAGAACTTAGACCTATCTTTTTTGGAGGTCACATTTCAAGCCACTGGCTCTGCACTGTGAACATGCATGGGTCACACACGCACATGCACACACACACACACACACACACACACACACACACCTGGATACAGCTGGATATATACCCACAGGCATTCCCCAAGTACAGCTATTCCCCTTGTGCAGCAGATCTAATACATATTCAGTTACACACTTGCCCTTTACATTTTTTTCACTTACTTTCAAATCTGGTTACAGATGATTAAGAGCGAACTTATTTGTAGAAATCTAAAAAGTAGGTGGCTCCATTTCTCAGAAGGAATGCTCTCTTAATGAATGCACATCAGGTTGGACAGGCAGAAATACACCACATGGATAAGTTTTTAAGCATATGCCCCAATTCTTTGAAAGACCTCACTATCTATCAAAGCCACCTTCTCCGTCATTAGAAAGCTATGGGGTTTTTTGGCATTGGGCCAAAATCTAATTTCCTGAACCATCTTACCTGTTGGTGCTCCAGCACCACGGGGGTGCGCAGAACCTGGTGCCCCCCCTCTACATGACAGCTCTCCTGTGTTTGAAGTCGGCTTTGGTCTACACCTCTCCAGGCTAATTTTTTAATTAGCTTAAATTAATGGCAGTTCCTGGGGAGCTCCAGCCCCAGTAAAAGTGGCCTGAATTATTCAAAGATTTGAGTGTTTCAAATGCCTGTTTATCCTAATTAGCATCTTAGCTACAGCGGTGCCCTCTGCCTCTAAGGAGCCACATTTTAACATGTTCCATATTTTAATGGATTTTCCTTGAATGAACTGTTTAATCAAGTGAAGACACATTTCATGAATGAATAGAAGTAAATCTATAATTATACACTTTAGTCAGGTAAGAGGAGTGACATTTCGGCACAATTCATGGCTATATATAGCAAGTGCATTTGAATGACAAAGTAGGTTACCTCAGCTTCCATAGGAGAGCTGAGAATTCGCTTTGCTCTCAAGTTCATTTCGTAACCTAATTAGAATTTTCAAAGAGTTGTAAAGTGCATGTGGTGCAGCCCTGGTTCTCCCCATCTTTACCTGGATCTGTGCCTTTCTGGATGGTTCCTCTGCTGGTGCAGTAGCCTCATTAGGGAAGTTGTCTGGGGAACTACTGGCCATAGAAGCTGAGTGCCTTGAGATCTCTGGAGCTCTCTGCAGCCTCCAGCCACTGGCTGTGAATTTCACTTGCCCATGGGAGCCTTCTCTGTGTGGGACACGTGGTCTGAATGCAGTAGCAAGTTGCTATAACAATATTCTGCTTCTCTCTTCTCCCTTTCTTGCTTTCTGTCTCATGTCTTCCTGCCTCCTTTCCTTCTCTCCATTTTCTCCTCTGCCATAGTCAGGTTCTGCTCGGGGTGCTAAGGGCCAGGAGTAGAAGGGCCTGAGGATTAAAGATGAGATGTACCTACTAGAGGGGGCAGGAGAGAGCAGGGGAGCAATCCTGGTGCCCTGGGTCTGGAGGAGATGGGGACAGGGGGCTCGGGGGTTTTCAGACAGGCTGGCAACCCAGCTGTAAGCTTGATGATTCTGTTGCTCTTACCCCAATCAGTAGCCACTTTAGCTACACATTGGAAACTCCTGGAAAGCTCTAAAAATACAGATGCCTGGGTCCTATCCCAGAGGTTCTGATTGGTTTAGGAGGCAGTTAGGGCATCAGCAGTTTCTAAAACTCCCCAGGTGATTCCAACATGTAGTCCCAAAGTCTTTAGGTGACGGCAGCCCCAGCCAGCATCCTAACCACAACCTCCTGAAAGACCCTGAGCCAGAAACCCCCAGTTAAGTTGCTCCCCATTCCTCACCATGGAAACTGTGGGGGACAGTGGATGTGTATTGGTTAAGCTGCTACGTTTTGGGATAATTTGTTGCACAGCAGTAGATGACTAATACAGATTATTAGTTGTCCTGAATGTACCCCCAAGCCGATCACTTCTTGCCACCTCCCATATCATATCATCTAGCCTCCAGAATCCCTCTCCCGGACCATTGCTGGAGCCCCTCCCTGCCCTTCCTCTTCCCCTCATGTCCCTGCCCCTCAGAGGTCCCACAGAAGCCTGAGCAACTGTCTCAAATCATAGTTCTAATAATGTCACTCCATCACTTAAAACTTCATCATGGGTTACCACTGTGCTTAGGGCCGAGACCTGATCCTTCACGTGAACTGGAAGGCCTGTGTGGGCTGCCCTCACCCACCTCTTTCTCAGTTCATTCCGACAGCCTCCCTCAAGCCCTGCTTTAGGCTCTGCATTAAGCCCGCTAGGACATTCTTTTAGTTTCTCCACCAGCTCCCTCCCGTCACAGGAAGTACACATGCTGCTCCTCGGCCTGGAATCCTTTTCCCTGCCCCACCTCCTGGCCTGGGGCTGACTTCTCTGCTACAGCCTCTCCCAGGAGCCTGCCCCTGAACTTGAGCGTCCTTGTCTCAGTGAACATTTACACATTCCCTGGGACAGTCAGCTGATGAATGCCTCTTGCCCTCACTAGACAGAGATCCAGGACAGTGAACATTTTTGGTCTTTAGAGGCCCAGTCCTACCTCAGACGGTTCCTGAAACAGAAGAGATGTCAATATCAGAAATGAATGAGTGGGTGAATAAGTGAGTGAATGAAGTAGTGGGACTGGTAGGGACAAACAGAGCCCATTCTGGAAAATCCAAAGTGGTGAGTGGCTGCTCGGAAAGGTACTCAAGTTCAGAAGCCAGGCAGTGACTGGGCATGAGAGAATTTCAGTCCCAGGAATGAAGCAAGAGCTCAGATTGAGAGCCTGAGGTCAGAGAAGGTCCCTTTCCAGGCTGACTGGGGGCTGCACCCCAGGGCTCCTGACCTCAGGCCCCTCACCTTGCATCCATGGAGGGCAGGAGTGTCCAGTGCCAAGCGGGGGGATTCATAGGAGCCAGGGGTTCACTGGCCCTACCTGTGGGTAGCAGGGAGTTGCAGGGGTTAGGAGCCTGGCAGGGCATGCAGATACAGTCTTGGGGCCCTAAAGCAGAGACAGTGTGGGTGGAGAGAACAGGCTGGCCCACACACTGAAGCGGTGGGTCATGCAGTGATTTGATAAACCCAAGGCTGGGTGATTCTAGAGAGAGGGCAGTACCCGGCGTCCTCTGGCAGCTGTTCTGTGTTTAATGGAGAGGTGCAGGCTTCAGAGCAGGGAGGAGGCCTTGCAGTGGAGTGGCACTGTGGCCTTCTCAGAAGTGGGGACCAGCCTCCCTGATGGGACAGTGCAGACCCACATTAGGCTTAAACAGGTCACATGGACTCAATTAAATGCTGAGTGAGAAGATTCTTCCGAGTCATCCGTTTACCTGCACTCCCTTCCCAATTCCATTTGCTTTCCACCTTTTTCTCTGATCTCCTTTTCCTCCTCCAACCCCTCCCCTTCTCCCCCTATGTCTTGCAGGCATGGATAAAGACTGCACTCCCATGTCTAGTGTGTGGACGGAGGTTGTGTGCTCAGTCAGTTGCAGGAACGAAGCCATTGTGATGGCTTTATTGGAGTGACAAGTCCCTGTCACTCTCTTCACCACAGCACCGTGAACCAGCTGGGAGGGAGGTTGTGGGCAGACGCGCTCGTCTCTGCTGTTCAGACAGCTGATCTGACCTGGCGGCATTTTCTCCTGCTCAGCATGAGTGAGGCTGTCCCCACTGCTGGCTTTCCCTCAAAGCCATGGATTTCTCCTGGCTCTTAGCTTTATGAAAAATGTGGGACTTCCTAGAACTTGAAGTCTGAGTTGAAATATTAACATTCTTGCATTTGGCTGTTTGCTTCCCAAAGCTGCGTGGGAGCCTGAGGAGTCATTGGTCTCACCCTTTGTGACCTTTACACTCTCCATCAGCCCGTGCCTGTGGTCTCCCTAAAGGGTTCTTGGTCCCTGTCCTAGATTATCAATCATTTACTTAAAACTGTCCTCTGAGTGTGAACCACTTTGCTGCTACCCTGATAAAGGCAAGCAGAACTGAGCCCAGTGCTCAAGGTGTGGTCTGAGATGGACGACAGAGAGGGATTGTCCCTTCCTTCATTCTAGATGTGATATGTTTTAAAAATAGTTCCTGGCCACGTGCAGTGGCTCACGCCTATAATTGCAGCACTTTGGGAGGCCAAAGCGGGTGGATCACTTGAGGTCAAGAGTTTGAAACCAGCCTGGCCAACATGGCGAAACCCCGTCTCTACTAAAAATACAAAAATTAGCTGGGTGTGGTGGCGGGCACCTGTAATCTCAGCTATTTGGGAGGCTGAGGCAGGAGAATCGCTTGAAGCTGAGAGGCGGAGATTGCAGTGAGCCCAGATCATGCTGCTGCATTCCAGCCTGGGTGAAAGAGTGAGACTTTGTCTCAAAAAAAAATTAATTAATTAAAAAAAAAAGGAGCAGGGGGCGGGGAAGGGGGGGGGGCAGTGGTTCCTAGTCTTAATCACCCTTTGTTAATTGCCTTGCTCAGTTAATACATTCTGGTCTCCTAACCGAGGGGAAAATATCCAAGCCATTAAAATTTTTTTCTCACAATTATCAATCATTTACTTAAAACTTATCCTGCTTTGTTTAGAATGTGGTTCTCTAAACATGTATCAGAATTACCTGGAGAGCTTGTTGAAACACAGGGTGCTGGACCCCACCCTGGAGTGTCTGATTCAGTAGTTCTGGGTAGAGCTGGAGAGTTTGCATTTTTAGCAAGTTCTCAGATGGTGCTGGTGTTACTGGTGCAGGGGCCACTGTTTGAGAACCACTGCTTCAGGGACATGCTTTCTGGCACGAACTCACATGGATGGGCCACACCAGTTCTTGTAGCGGGGGTGGGGAGGAGGTGTCAAGTCAACAACTATTGCCTCCAAGCCTCTTATCGCAGATTATTTATTCCAGGGGCTCTGACCCATCCATTCTCTCCATGCCGAATGTCTTCGGCTCCTTGTGGATTTGTTCCTTGGCCAGGTCCTGGATCCGCTGCTCCAGAAACAGGGAGAGTTTTCCCCTTTGGGTAGCCCCAGAGGCCCTGGCCTTTAGGGAGCCCAGTCCTTCCTTACCTCCTTTCCAGCAGCCGTTGGTGCCTGCTCACAGCACTCCTCACTCCCTGTCAATCTGTGTCTCCTGCCCTCCTGGGGCTCCCTTCCAGGTGAGGGGCAGCCTTCTAACCTCCCCTGCCCATCATTACCCATCTCTCCCCATCCCTCCCAGGATGCCCAGAGCTTTCAGCAAATCAGACTCCTGGTGGCTGCCTCACTTGGCCCAATATGCAGATTAGGCCCCCAGGGGCACCCCCTGCCATTCTTTGTGTGTATGTGAGTGTGTTGTGTGTGTGAGTGTATTTTATTGGGAATTAAGAGTTATTCCTTTCCCAGAAGAATGTACTTCTATTTTTATAAAGGAGATTAATAGAAAAAAGGAAATCATTTTGCAGAAATGTAGTTAATGGCAAGATATTGGCTCCAGTTTTTTTTGTTTTCGTCTGTTTGTTGTTGCTGTTGTTGTTTGAGACAGAGTCTTGCTCTGTTGCCCAGGCTGGAATGCAGTGGTGCGATCTTGGCTCACTGCAACCTCTGCCTCCGGGGTTCAAGTGATTCTCCTGCCTCAGCCTCCCAAGTAGCTGGGATTACAGGCACGTGCCACTAATGCCTGGCTAATTTTTATACTTTTAGTAGAGACGGGGTTTCACCATGTTGGCCAGGCTGGTTTTGAACTCCTGACCTCAGGTGATCCACCCGCCTTGGCCTCCCAAAGTGCTGGGATTACAGGCGTGAGCCACCGCACCTGGCCTGGCTCTGTTTTAAACAAGAGATAACTGCAGTTCCAGAAGGAAACCTAGGCATTTATAAATTTTCTTAGTAAATCTTCCATCAGTGCACTAAAGGGTCTTTCTACCCACTTAAGGAGCATGTAAATTGTTTTCCCTTGTGAGGAAGATCTATTACATTATTTCTTTTCCATGCTTTTGTCACTTTAAAATGCCATTTATAATATTACTGACTGCCTCCATTTGCTTTCCCCAGAAAGTCCATTAGGATAAATACTTGAGGTGAGCATAGACTCCTTGGTGCTGAGATTATGGGCGGTGAGTGGCTGACCTCACTGACCATCTGTTCTGGCCTGTTCTGGTTCATCGGGCCTCCGAAACTGTCCACATCTGGCAGAATCCAGAAGAGCCAGCCAGGACTGGGAATCACACTTCAGTTTCCTCATCTGTGAAATGAGGGGAGGGATGAGATGACCTCTAGGGTGTGTTTTGTCTATTCGTTTTGAGTTCTGACCACCTATAAAACATTTTATTCTGCCATGTTTATATATAGCTTTCATACACACATTAATACACACATGTGGATACCAAAGCTACTGCAGCCTTGATGCCTTGCCATTTGCCTGGGAATGATCACTCCAACTTCTAAGTGGTGTGTAGAACTTTAGAGTTTACAAAGCCATTCCACATATTCAGTGTTTTTGCTGAGCCTTGAGTCAACCCCATGAGCTACTTGCTGTATTGCCCCCATCTTATAGGTGTAAAAACTGAGACTTGAGAGTTTGGGTAGTTTCTTGGAATGTGGGTGCCATGCAAGTGGAGAGCCAAGGCTAGACTGTGCGTTTCCAGGAGCTCACGCATTGAGCTCCTCCCAGGAGGGCCACATGTGCATGTTTTCCCTGTTTAATAATGACTGTTGTTCCACAACACCTCGTGCTGCTCAAAACTCATCATGGGGCCCACCTGTATCCAGAAGGATTTGAGACAGCAGAAATAAACTCTAATGGAAAAGTTAACTTTTTCCCCCCATTGACTAGTTACCAATCTTCCATCAAATTGAGGTAAAAACGAAGGATGGACAAGGTTCACGCTGACTGTGACAGCATCTTTCTTTTTACAAAACATTGATCACAAGGCATTTCAAGCATTCAGAATAAAATAAACACCCAAGGACTTGCTAGCCAGAATGATTACATGTTCACATTTGCTCCATTTGCTTCATATTTCTGTCAAAGAAATAAAAGATGGCAGCTCCCATCACAGTCTGTTTTGTCTCCCTTCCTTGGTGTTGACCATCCTGTGACATTTAAGGCCAGATTATCCAAAATGCTCTGATGTATACATTACAAGGATCCACCAAGTGTTGAAATAAGAAGTTCTTTTTTATTGTGATACAATATACATAGCAGAATATTTATCATTTTAGCCATTTATAAGGGTACAGTTCAGTAGCAGTATGTTCACATGTTTGTGCAACTATCACTACTGCATCTGCAGAACTTTTTTTTTCATTCCACACTGAAACTCTGTGCCCATTAAACAATCACTCCCCACCCCCTCCTTCCCTCAGCTGCTGGTAACCACCATTCTACTCTCTGTCTCTATAAATGTGACTAACCTGAGTATCTCATATGAATAGAGTCATACAATATTTGTCCTTTTGTGTCTGCCTTATTTCATGTAGCATGATGTCTTCAAGGCTCATCCATGTTGTAGCATGTGTCAGAATTTTATTCCTTTTGAAGGCTGAATAGTATTTCACTGTCTGTATACACCACAATTCATTTATCCATTCATCGAGCAGTGAACGTTTGGGCTGCTTCTGCCTTTTAGCTGCAGTGAACAAATGTTCTTATGAACATGGGTGTAAAATGTCTGTCAAGTCCCTGCTTCCAATTCTTTTGGGTACGTGCCCAGAAGTGGAATTGCTGGATCATGTGGTAATTTTATATTTATTTTTTTGAGGGGCTGCTATACTGTTTTCCACAGCAGTGGCAGCATTTTACATTTCCACCAGCAACACACAAGGGTTCCAGTTTCTCCACATCTTCACCAACACTTGTGGTTTTGCTTTTTGGTAATAGCCATGCTAATGGGTGTGAACAAGAAGTGCTTTAAGCATCTCCTAAAGCGGAAGAAACTGAGGCCCAGAGAAGGGAAGAATCACACGAGAGATTGAGGTCACAAGCAAGTCAGTGATAGAGCAGGACCTGGAAGCTGGATCCCCTAACCCCAGCCTAGTTCTTGCTACTAAAACCCAAAATCCAGTTTCCATTGCTATATGTCAGAGGGTGCACAGCCATGGCCACAGGCCAGATACAGACTTTAAGTTTATTTGGTTTGATCCTTACTTTCTTTTTTTTTTAATTCAAAATAGTATCAACATTTAAAAATTAGGGGATTTTATATTTTAAAAGTCTAAATTTCTGATTTCTCCCCTCAAAAATCAGAAGGTCTGGTAACCCTTGACCCACATTCTAACTCAGCAACCAACTATTACTGTCTTTTGTTTTGTTTTGTTCTGTTGAGACAAGGTCTTGTTCTGTCACCCAGGCTGGAGTACGGTGGCGTGATCACGGCTCACTGCAGTCTTGAACTCCTGGGCTCAAGCAAGCCCCCCGTCTTGGCCTCCCAAAGCTCTGGGATTACAGGTGTGAGCCCACGCCCAGCCCTATCATTCTGTAATATCCTTCCACACAGGCTAGTTCACACACTGGCTGGTCCTGGTAACACTGGAGTTTGCAGCCCTTTGCTTTTCACATCCATAGATATTCCTCATTCTGAGTGTCAGTAGACACATAGTTACGTGTAACATCATAGGCAGGTTCCATACTTCTTTCCTCTTTCCTTTACTCTATATTGTCTTTGAATATCTTAGCTATTTCCTCACCATAAAAGTGAAATAATGTTGCAAATAAATAGTGCAAAATATTAACAAAGACACAATTGAATAGCCTGATTTGGAGACAGTGTGATGTGGTGGAGAAACACCAGCAAAGGTGCTAATCTTGACTCTTGCAGGAACTCCCTGGGCAATCTTGGAAAGTCCCTTCCCTGTCTGGCCTCCTTGTATCCATGTGTCAGTTGCAGGGTGGGACTGGGGGATCCTCAAGTTTTTGTGGGGCGGTCTAGTTAATAATGTAAAACAAAACCACTCACTTTGCATTGTCGGTAGAGAAAATCGCTTTGCCCAATTGACTTCCCCAGGGTGACCCCTCGGAACTGGCCCTTCCTGTGGTCCCCAGCACACCCACCCTCTGCTTTCTCTTTGCTGACAGGTGCGGAATGACCTGACTGGAGTTCTGTATGGCGAGGACATTGAGATTTCAGACACCGAGAGCTTCTCCAACGATCCCTGTACCAGTGTCAAAAAGCTGAAGGTAGGTGTGGCTAGCCACAGGGTGAATGGCAGACTGATCTCAATGCCCTGGGTGCCCAAATTACCTGACTATGAAAGAGCCTCAAGTTTGGTCTGGGTCTCAAGTTCATTTCCACCTTGGCATCCCAGACAGGAGAAGCTCCCAGGAATTGGCTTCCCTTGGCTTTCCCTTCCTTGCTCTCCAACACTGGCCAGAGGTGCTGGCTGCAGGTGCACAGCCACTGAGCACTTTCCTGATGGTTTTATATCTCTCAACGCAGCCTCAGGGGCAAGCAGGGCACACATGATTGTCATGTCTGTTTTGAAGAGTCACAGAGAGAGGAACTGTCTTTCAGAAAGCCCACAGCAAAGAAGTCTTCTTGTTGCAACTGAAAGCCCAGGCTCCTGACCCCTATCCGGTGACACTCTCTTTAGGAACAGAAAGGGTCAACGAGAAGTTTCCCCAGTTGTAAGTCAGTCTCTAATTTTCATTTGTCCATTCCTTCTGCATACTCTCTCAAACAGCTTTTACGCACCAGACCCTCTCTTGGGCTCATAGACATCATCGGCCTTGACCTTGTCCTCAGGTTACTCCCAGCATGGTGAAGAAGACAGAGACCTCTCAGGGGAAACAGGAACAAAGGGGCCTGGGAACAAAGGGAGGAAGTGACTCATCCCACCTGGGGAGAGTGCTCAGACAAGGTTCCAAAAAGAGACAACATTTGGTGGAGGAGGAAGAGAGGGATCCCCTCCTACAGGAGCCCAGCACGGTAGGAGGGAAGATCAGAGGGTAGGGTAGCCATGCTCATCATGGCTTAGAATCAGCAGGAATTCCACAGAGGCAGAAGTACCTGGAGTGGGGTAGAAGGGAGGCTGAAACAGAAGTCAGTTCCCAGGAGCCTTGAATGCCAAGCTTAGAAGTTTGATATGTTATCCTGGGGACTTCCTGGAGGTTTGTAAGCAGGTGCCAGTGTCATCAGAGCTATCAAATTCCTCTTTCCCTCTCCTCCATTCCTTCAGGCCCTCACTTAAAGTCATTAGCATGGAGACCCCAGATGCCAACTGCAGATATGTCCCTTCTGTCTTGTGTGGGTCCCAGGTTACACCAGTCAGAGCAGGTAGCAGCTTAGAGCAGTTGCCTTCTAAATCCTCCAGTTCACAGATGGGGAGCCCAAAGCCCAGAGAAGGGGAGCAAGGGAAGCAACATATCAGTTGTCTACCACCTCCTCCAGAGCAGATACAGAGCCTGCGGGTCACATTTCAGCCTTGGGAGCCTCTGCAGATGAGGACACAGTAGTCAGGGAAGGGCCTGCTTGACAGCCCAGGTGGCTGGAGCCAGGTCTCCCCCCTGCAGTGTCACAGGCTGTGTTGGGCCTGGAGGATTCAGGGGTGGGGTGGCTGCTCTGCAGGAAGCATCTGGGGCAGGGTTGGGAGAGGAGGGGAGGGCCTGCAGCTGCGCTGACATTCTCCTGCCACATGCAGAGGCATCTCCCCATGGTGGGCACTTGAAATAGCTCCCTGAGCTCCAGAGGCCCAGCATCTATGGACTTTAATGTTTAAAGAACCTTTGTGTGCAGAGCAGAGCAACTGGAGATGGAACTGGACTCTCTACCCATCAACCAGCCAACTCCAACAGAAGTAGCAACGACATTAACCATAATGAAAATAACAGCCGAAATAGCCACCTTTCCAGTGCATTGACCACAGGCCAGGCCCTGTGCAGAGCCCTTCACCTTTATTTGCTCAATTCGTCCTCCCCAAAGCCCTCAGATGGAGGGAATTTTTGTATCCCTGTTTCACAGATGTGGACTCGAGACTCAAAGAGGTTAGCAACTACCCCAAGACACCCAGCTGAAAAATGGTGGGTTGGGATTCAAACCCAGGTCTGGGCAATGTCATGGCCCAGCTTTCTCCACTGCTCTGCACGTACTTCTGAGAAAGGATTTCAGTATCACATAAGCCAGGAGAGCAGCACTAATGACAGAGTACTCATCTGTTGGCAAAGGCTCCCCTCACCCAGACACCTGCACAGCTCCTTCTTGTACCTCTTGCAGTCTTTGTCCAGTCATCCCCTTCTCCCCGAGGCTTTCCCTGAACACTTTATTTAAAAATTGAAATCCCTGTTCCTCCAACTCCCACTTGTCCCTTTCTGCTAATTTTCTCCTCCATTTCACTGATTGATATCTATTTTCATTTCCTGGGACTGCTGCGACAAAGTATCACAAACTAGGTGGTTTATAACAACAGAATGTACTCTCTCGAAGGCTTAGGGCTCTTCCTTGCCTTTCTCTTGGCTGCTGGCGTCACCAGTAATCCTTGGCAGTTTGTGGCTCACCACTGCATCACACCAATCTCTGCCACACATGGCATGTCCTCTCTTCTCTTTATATTGTCTTTTTAGGACACTGATCATGTTAGATAAGAGCCTCCCCTATTCTAGTATGACCTTGACCTAACTAGTTACCTCTAACAATATCTGGACTTCTATTCATTTTACCTGGTGTTTTATCATCTGTCTCCTCCCATTAGAATGTAAGCTCCAGGAAGCAGAAATTTCTGTCTGTCTTGGTCACTCTTCTGTTTCCCATCACCTAAAACCCAACGTAATTTGCTCAACAATTTGTTGAGTGTGTGTGAATGAAATACCAAGTCTGGACAAAGTGCAACAGAGGCTACAAGGACATAATACTCAGGAACAACGGGAAGGTAGTTACTTTTGGAAATCTCAGAGGAAAAGCAAGTTTCTGATTTATTGTGGGATAAGATGGAGAAGGAGGTACAGAGGACAGACAAGAAAACCAGATATCAAATAGTAGAACTGGAGTCTGCATTGGAGGTAGTAGAGAGCAGAATTAAAGCCGAGAAATATAAAAATCAGTAAGGTGGAGGGCAAACTTGAGATACTTTCCCAGAATTCAGAGGAAATCGCCAAATAGATCAATCCAGTGAGATAAAGGATAACAGTTGTGGATACTGGAGAAGGGAGTTTTCCTAAGGGAAAACCAGGACAAAAGAAACAGAATCAAAATCCAAAACAGTAGAAACAGTAGCAATGAGCACACCTAACACCCAGATTTTGGTTCCTAACACCATTCTCCAGTAAAAGGAACCAGGGCTCCTTAGACAAATGGCTGGTTCTATGGGGCAGGAAATAGACAAGATGATTCTGGAGTATTTTGTAATACCAGAAGGTAAGGAATAACACACATACTGGTGGGGCTGTATCAAGGGAGTACAGTTGCCAATTGAAAGAGCTCCCAATGGCCAAAGCTGGAACAATTTGAACACAAAAAATTAAAGTAGTATTAGAATATAACCCAAAGTATAAAATAAATCTCCACAAGTTTACTATTATGTAAATGATTGACTAATAAATGGGAGAATATAGGCAAACCTCCTACACAGAAGAATTCAAAATAACTTACATAGATACTTCACACTCCAAAGAGGTAGGTCATAACTACACACTTCTTAAGTTACTTCCTTCCAAAGGGTACAGTAGGAGAAGGGGGGATAAAAAAGAATAACTTGACGGTCGAGAAACCTGACAAACGTTCCCTTAGCGAGGCAATCAAGGTCAACATCAGCAGTGATAAGTCACATTGAAAGCTCCCTTGACATGATATGATGGGAATAACTTTACCTCTGTGGTCTTCTTCCCCAAATCCCATAACCCCAGTCTAACCATGAGAAAAACATCAGACAAATTACAGTTGAAGGCCATCCTACAAAATACCTGACCAATACTCCCCCAAACTGTCTAGTTCATCAAAAATAGAGAAAGCCTTAGCCAAAAGGAGCTGAAGGAGGCATGACAATTGAATATAATGTGGTATATTCTAGATGGGATCCAGGAATAGAAAAAGGATGTTTGAGAAAAAGACTAAGGAAATCTGATTAAAGAATGGGTGTTAGCTAATAATAACATCAATATTTATTCATTGTGACAAATGCACAAAATACTAATATAAAACATTAATAATAGGGAAAACTGGATGAGGGGTTGTATGGGAACTCTGTATATAGTCTCCACAATTTTTCTGTTTTCAAATAAGAATTTTTTTTTTTTTTTTTTTTTTTTTTTTACTAGGAAACAAACTTAAGCGGGCTCAAGACAGACCTAGTACTGTAGATTGGGCCATACAAAATTTCCATTATTCTACAGTTTTTGAACTACAACAATTTTATATGGAAATGTACAGACTATATGAGCAAACTAGCCAGCTTCTGCATTCTAGCATAACTGGTGAAAAGAGAGTCATACTTAGACAGGTTTTGCCAAAATTTTGACATACTTAGTGGAGAAAATCTTACAAATATCTAGGCCAGGAAAAAAACAAACTTCCCATAGAGATGCAAAAACCAGGCCACTCTCTGACTCCTCTGAAGCATTAAATCCCAGAGACAGTGGAGCAACTGGGAGGTATTCTGCACTGTATGGGGCTCACACGATGTTCCAGCCAGGTCCCCTTCTTGAAGCTAATCCTGAAGTCTGATGTCAACCAGCCAAAAGCGATGGCATACTTTACAGCTGAGGTCATGACAGAAACGGCTGAGCAGGGATCATTGGAACCCATGGAAGGAAAGCAAAGTCTAAATAATTGTTATAAAAGTGTATGCAGATGCAAAAATTACATATAATTTTATACATAATGCAAAAATAGATACGGCAATAGGCATAATTGAGATATAAAAATCCAAATTACCTTCACAGGCCTAAGAAGAGATGAATTTTTTAAAAGAAGGGTGCTTAACTCCTGGTGTTAACTAGGAGAGGGACTCAAAAGAGACCATTTTGCTCATGAGTTTCATAATTAGGTAGATATAAGCTAAAGAATGCTTTGAATGACTCAGTGGTAAATATACCATAATGCAAACAGAACCTGAAGCTGCAGAAACACAAAAATAAAACAAAGGAAATCTCATCCATGTTTCGAAACAGAAAACAAACATGAAAACCAGAAAGCACAAAACAGATCAGTGCAGACCACATATAATGATTCTGACCAGAAGTTCAAATAGGCCAAACTCATTATCAAAAGGAAGAGACTTTCAGATTGTGTTTCAAAAAACGAACTCTAGCTATTTACATCAGATAAACAAAGTGACACTGAAAGGTTGAAGGTAAAAGGTTGAGCAAAGGTCTACCAAGCAAGTCAAACTACAGCAAGAATCCCAGTATTCATATCAGACCAAAGCGTGTTCAAGATACAGGTGTCAAACAGGATTAAGGAGAGTCCTTTTCTATAGATAAGGCTTCAATCCACCTTGAGAATAACATGCTCACGGACTATTATTGCTTTAAATTACATCTCACTGAAATAAAGAAAGAAAAGCCTGTTAAAAATAGAGACGGAAATTGACAGAAACACAATAGCATTGGGAGGCATAACATCTCTCTCTCACTCTTGGACAGTTCACCCAGGCAAAAAAAAAAAGGCAAGAGCACAGAGGAACGGAATAATGAAATTAATAAGGCTGATTTAGCAGATGTGTATCGAAATTTGTATCAAGAAAGTCAGGAAATACCATTTCTGTGTGATGAAGTCGCGAGGCCCTTTAAGCTCATTCCAAGCCTGTTCTGAACAGGGGGTGGCTAAAGTTTAGCTGTTTCCAGGCGGGGCTGGGAAGCTGCTCTGCACAGAGACCACGTCCTGGGCACTCATAGGGAGAGTTCCAGGTGTCACATTTCCCTTTCTGGACATTTCAGTTGCTTCATGCACCTTCCCCAAAGTGGCCTTCTGCCCTATATTCATATTTCCATTTGTTGGAGGAATATGTGGTACATTATTTCAACCATGGGGCATCCACAGACCCTTATGTCTGGAATTGACATGGGAGGGGCAGTTGCCTCAGTTCAATCCGGGTGCTCTGGAGACCAAATATTTTTGTGGAAAGAGCAGGAACTTTTAAAGAAAATCTTTTATTGTAAAATCAAACAACAATTTGAAAGCCACAGAAATCAAATGAATGTCTAAATGAATCCTAAGGCAAACAGCACACAGGTCAGAGAACTTTATCAGATACCCCAAAAGTCCCTTCTATCCACAGCCCCCTGCCCCCACCATCAGGAACCCTATGCCCTACTTTTACAGAAATCATCAGCAGTCTTTATTCCTTTTTTTTGTCAGAACTCAGAAAGTATAGGGAATGCTGTTCTAGTTGTGACCCTTTTTTTTTATTGTAGTAAAATATATGTGACATAAAATTTACCATTTTAACCATTTTTAAGTGTTCAATTCAGTGGCATTAAGTACATTCACAGTGTTGTACAACCATCCCATTATCCACTTCCAGAACTGTTTCATCATCCCAGACAGAAACTCAGAACAGGGGCTTTGCGTGTAGGTGTGTTGCTCTGTCGCCCAGGCTGGAGTGCGGTGGCACGATCTCGGCTCACTGCAACCTCCACTTCCTGGGTTCAAGTGATTCTCCTGCCTCAGCCTCCTGAGTAGCTGGGATTACAGGTGCCCTCCACCAAGCCTGGCTAATTTTTGTATTTTTAGTAGAGATGGTGTTTTACCATGTTGGCCAGGCTGGTCTCAAACTCCTGACCTTAGGTGATCCGTCCGCCTTGACCTCCCAAAGTGCTGGATTACAGGCGTGAGCCACCTGTGCCAAGCATAACAGGGGCTTTTGAATCAAGTAGACCCGGGGTTGGACTCCGTCCCTGCCTTGGTGTCTTCCTCTGTAGAGAGGGCACTGGGCCATCCCAATTGTGTGATGGTCGCCGTAGGCAGACTGTTGGGCTCTCTCGGGGGCTGAAAAATCAGTAGTTGATATTACGTTCGAAACTTGAGAGATGCTGGAATAGAGAAAAGACTAAATAATAAAACACTAAATAATAAAATTAGAGAATTTCAGGGAAAGAAGCCATGGAACTCTCTATCTTTTAATGAATATCTTAAAATGATAACAAAGGACTTTCTAAAATCCAAACTTTGAGACAGTAAGCAAAGCTGAAAGATTGTGAGCAATTCATTTAGGGTCTCTGGGCCCACAGAGCTTCCCTATTGCAGGTGAATTTACCAGAGGAGTCAAGAGCCTTGCTTGCCTGCGTCAGCGCTGTGCCAGCAGCCACCTCTTTCCAGAGGGCTCCTCTTCTCTCTCTCCATCTTATCACAGCCTCTTCTTCTGACCTCATCCAACGCTTCTGCTTCAACATCAAAGGAGGACACTTTTAAGCACTCCCTTTGTGCCCACAGATTCATGAATTCACTTCATCCCCACAATAACTCTACAATAGCAGTCAGCAAACTACAGCTCATGGGCCAAATCCGGCCTACTCTCTGTGTTTGTAAATAAAGTTTTATAGGAACACATTCATTTACCACAACGTCCTTGGCTGCTTTTGTGCTACAGCGGCAGAACTGAGTAATTGCAACAGAGACTATATGGCCTATGAGACCAAAAATATTTACTATCTGGACCTTTATAGAAATTGTTTGCCACCACCTGCTCTGAAGATAGGTACTATTATTATCCCCATTTTATAGGTAGAGAAACTGAAGCTCACGAAAGTTTAATAACTTGCCTGAGGCCATGAAGCTGATTAAGTGACTGAGCTGAGATTCTAGCTCAGCAGTCTAGCTACAGACTGGCTCTTAACCTCCACGGCATGCCTCCCAGCTTCGTGTCCACCCACACTCCTCAGTCAGCATAGCCTCTCAACATTCCAAGGTTACTCATACCCAACATTTTTAAATGACCTGTCTCCCCCCATTTCTTCTTAGTAACAAAACAGGAATGAAAGGGCTTTGCAACTTACTTGCCTTAAGTGGAGGAGCGGTTAAAAAAAAAAGTGCTAGGGAATGACAGAAAGACAGAGATAAGCAGAAAGCTCTCATCTTTATTTTTTATATTGATGCAATATTTGGGCCCCAGTGCAACATCATGAAGACCCTCTAAATTGAGCCAGGCTTTCTACTCTTAAAAAAGGAAAAGAAAATATGTCTGTGCCATTTAGAGCCATGTTTGGCTTTCTTTTTTGAGTGACTCACAAAAATAGCCCAATTCTCCAACAATATTAGTGGGGATCCTTATGCCTCACATTAAGGGGACAGCTTTGACCAGAAAAGCTACTCGACTAGTCAGCAACAACTGAGTGTCCTAGAACCCCAGCAGAGAGAGGAGGGAGACAGGATAAGCCCAAGGTAAGGCCTTTCCAGAGAGGGAAGTGTCTTCATTTCCCATTGCTGCTGTGAAAATCTGAACAGCTTCAAGCAACACAAATTTATCTTACTGTCTGGAAGCCAGATGTCCTACATGGATCTTGACAGGCCAACATCAAGGTGTCAGTGCGGCCAAGTTCCTTCTGGAGGCTCTAGTTCCAGTATCTAGAGGCCACCTGCATCCCTCAGCTGGCATCCCCTTCCTCTATCTTCAAAGTGAGCCATAGTCAGTGGAGCCTTTCCCACACTGTATCACTGTCTCTGCCTCGGCCATGTTTAAGGACCTTGTGAATACATGAATACATTTAAGGACCCTGTGAATACATTATCACCTGGCTAATCCAAGAAAATCTCCCTATTTTAAGATCAGCTGATAAACAACCTTAATTCCATCTGGAATGTGAATTTTCCCTTTACCACGTGACATAACGTACTCACAGGTTCTGGGGATTAGGATGTGGCCTTTTTTGGGGGACTGGGGGAGTGGGGACAGGGTCTCACTCTGTAACCCAGGCTGGAGTGTAGTGGTGTAATCACAGCTCACTGCAGCCTCAACTTCCTGGGCTCAAGCAATCCTCCCACCTCAGCCTCCCAAGTAACTGGGACTACAGGCATGCACCACCATACTCAGCCTATATATATATATATATTTGTAGAGACAGGGTTTCTCCACGTTTCCCAGACTGGTCTTGAACTCCTGAGCTCAAGTGATTCTCCTGCCTTGGCCTCCTAATGTGCTGGGATTACAGGCATGAGCCACTGAGCCCAGCCAGGATGTGGCTATTATTCTGCCTGGCATAAGACAACTACAAAGGTAGGCTTTGAGAGGACTGCCCTTCCCTTGCTCCATGGTAAAGTCCTAGTGGGAACTGTGCTCTCCCTCTTGACTCTGGCCAAAAAAAAGTCCTTAGGGAATTGACCCCCTTTTTTCCCAACCAGATAGGAGAGACCTGATGAGAACTGCCACTCCCACAGGCCAGGAGTCCATCCTGACTGCCTGAAACTGAAGTTCATACAGGCACCCCAAGGGGACGCAAAGCTGCAGAATACACATGGTGCATCTTTCTCACAGGCCAGGTTTGCTCAGAGACATGGAGACGAAAAGGTATTATTTTTAACTTACGACATAGATATATTATTAGAGTGTTAAATATACATGAATTTTCAAGATACAAGAATAAACTTTAAAGAAATGCCATGCTTTCCACTGGGCTGCTGTGGGCTATTCCCTCTTCGCTCCCTTCCTTGAGAGTGAAGCGTATGCCTTCACTGCCTTTACGGACAGAGTGAAGCATATGCTTCTCTGCCTTTATGGACATTTCCAGTGGGGGGTGGGGTCTAAGTAAGACAAATTTTAGCTAAATAAAAGGGACTACTCATTGTGGGTATGGGATCAGTTTGTCAGAGCCAGGAGGGACTTTGGAGAACATTCTAGGCTGAACTTCTAGGGCCCACTCCAAGTCTACAGCCAGACAGTTGGGGCACAGGACTGGCCTGGGCTTCCGAAGCCTTAGGCAGTGCCCGCTGGCCCAGGTCATGGCCAGCCTCTAACAGCTCAGCTGCCTTAGGGGTTTATAGCATCTCCTCTCTTTATATAGCATTGTGACATTTGAATTTTCAGCAGCCCAGCACAGTAGGTAGTCTGCGAGGCTAGGCTCTGAGAAACCAGGATGCCATTGAGTGGACCTAGACAGATGCATGGGTGGCAGGAGATTCCAGACAACCCAGAGGTCAGGGTCAGGCTCAGGGTCGAGCTTGACCTTCCTTGCAAGAGTCCATGCTCCACAGGCAAGGAAGGCTGGCTGGAGGGCGTGGTCCCTC
The DNA here is from genome assembly GCF_000001405.40 of Homo sapiens. Classification (NCBI taxonomy): domain Eukaryota; kingdom Metazoa; phylum Chordata; class Mammalia; order Primates; family Hominidae; genus Homo; species Homo sapiens. Next base: position 98,486,442 of record NC_000009.12, on the reverse strand, counting down.
ATCTTCCTCACCTCTGCTGTCCTGCACTCTTAAATGCACACCAGCAATTTCAGTGGCTCAGGATTGCATTTGCCATTTATATCCTTTCACTTCAACATCTGCATGACTTTTCTCAGTTAGCTGTTGCTGCAGATTGAGTGCTGAGCTCCAGCAGCTCAGACCCAGTGGGGTTTGCATCCTCAACTGGGAGGCGGTAGATAGGAGCGAGGAGTCAAGCACTCAGGCTCTGGGACCACACCCACCCGGGGCAAGGCCAGTGCCACCACCTCCTATTTGTGTGACCTGGCATCTTAGGTTGAAGTCCCTACAAACAGAGCCTGAGATGCTTGGGAAAGTAATTTATTGTGGAAGTACTCAGGAGAAGGGGAGGGAAGCAGGATGAGGCAGGAGGAGCTCTGTCTTGGATGGATACCAGTTTAGCCTGGCCCCACAGGGGTCTCCGGAGCACAGACAGCACCACAGAGCTGATCCTAACTTTCAGCAGGGGGGCCGGAGTTTTCCACCAATGTGAGTCAGTTGTTGGTTGCTCTCTGTGGGGTGTGGGGCATGGAGTGGCTCCCATGGCCAGGAAGCTCCCCTTAGCTGAGGGCAGTTCTCCAGAGAAGGGAGTGAGCTGTCAGCAGCCCACCCTCACTGCAGCCGGGCGGGTGTACCAGCCCCAAGGAGGGGACTGCACCTGGGAAGTTTGCTTAATTCTTTGGACCTTGCTTTGCTCATGAATCTTTCCAAAGTGAGCATAATAACAGCGCCCACCTCCCAGGGTGGGGCTGACGGACTGTTTAGCACAACAGCTCAGAAAGGGCTTGAGAGTTGTTATTTTTATGATGTTAGGATTGCTTGCAAACTGGGGGTACATGCTAGTTCTTTGAATTGGGTTATCCTTGCTAAGTGTCATGTGCGTGCGTGAGTGTGTGTGCGTGCCTGTGTGTGTGTGTGCCTGCGTGTGTGTATGTGTGTTTAGCTCTCTTTAAGCATCCCAGAGACAAAGTGGTTCTAGATGAGGGATGAGACAGGGTCAAGAAAAAGAAAAGGAAAGCTACCCAGGGTTTGGCAACATTAGACTCCTCTCCAGAGGGAGTTTAGTGGGCCTCTCCCTCACTCATCCTGTCACTGTTGGGGGTTTGGGCTGAATACCCCTCCCCATTTTCCTACCCCATTCCCACCGCTGTTTCCTTCCACTTTTGCCCCTTTCTTGTGATAGTAGCCTCTTGAGGGTGTGAACATAGGTCTCCATGTATGGTCTCCAACCCTAGACCTGGCCATCTCATTTGCCCCAACTCAGGTCATCTGCTTTCACTCCAGGAAGCTCCCTGCAGAGCCAAGTCCCTGGAAGGGCACAGGATTTTCCAGACCCTGCCCTCTGCCACGTTTCCAGTCCTTTGTGATATCACAGCTCTGATCTGTCACTGTCATCCTCAGGGATGGTTATGGCTGCCCCTCCCTACCCCCTACTACTGCCTAAACTGCCCCAAGCCCTTTCAGCATAAGAGAATGGGCCCATACCCTGGCAGGGAGGCAGGGGGCTTGTCTGAAAGCAGGGGCTACTGCTATTCCCAAATTTCTTCTTTCTACTCTCTGGACTTTCAGGAAAAGATACAAGCTATGCAACATTGAAAAGCATGATTCTGGAACTTTCATGAGAGCATGCACATGTGTGGAAAAACTATTAAGATTCCCCAAATCCAAAACCTTTCCCCTAACCCCTGAATCTTCCAGTAAGTTGCTACTTTAGAAAGGAGAACGCAGTATATCTGCACTTCCTACACTCGGGACACCTCCTCGTGCTCTAGAATGCACATACCCTAGTTTGAGAAGCACCTCAAACTGTTTATACTGCTCTATGGTGCCCCCCAAGATCCCCATCCAGCCTCATCCCCCGTTTGGCCTCTCCCCAACCCTGGATTCCGGGCTGCTCCTCCTTCCTTCCAGACTTGGCAGCGTCTTTCCCCCTCTTTCTCACCGTCTAGAAGCAGAGTATGTGTTCACAGCTTCCTGCAGCAGGCATGACCTGGCTCTGCATAGGATCTGTCTCCAGGGCCCTCTAATGGTCAAGGAGAACCAAAGTGAGAGCTCTGGCTTTCATTTTGGTTCTGTGGAGCCCTGGGAGAGCTTGTACCTCTCTGGGAAGAGATTAGCTAGATGGGGGATCCCACGGGCCCCATCCAAATCTAACAGCCTGGGAGCACTGAACAAAGTGGTCCTTGCAACTCGGTTGTCATAGCAACAAAGACACCAAATGGTTCACAAGTGGCAGAGCTGGTTATTTAACTGTCAGCAGGTGGTCAGGAGGTCAGCTATGAAGATGTGGGTCCCTCGATCTACTCAAGAAGTGGACATGGTGAGCCCAGGGTCTAGACCATGGGGTTGGTCAGATATTAGTGCAGTGATGATAATGGCTACTAGTGACCAAATAAGCAGCGTAGGCCAGGCATTGTGCGTGATGCTGCACACTGGATTAATTCACTTCATCGTGCATTCAACACATATTTGTTGACATATGTGTAGCGCCCTGTTCTGGGAGCTGGGGACTTAGAGATAAGTCAAGTTACGCTTACTTCAGTGGGGAAGACAGACAAGTAAGTGGACTTGAGCCACATTGGAGGCAAGCACAGGGTGATCCAGGCTCACAGAGGAAGAAGTGGCCACCAAGCCTGATGGGGCAGAGAGATGGTTTCTCAGAACAGAGGAGCCTGGGCTAAGGTAGGAAGGGTGAGTAGCAGCTGTGCGGGCAAAGTAAGTGGGAGGAGAGGGAAGGGCACTCTGGAGGGATAGACTTGCAGAATGGGTGGGGGGCGAAGTGGGAATATGAATAAATGAATGAATGAATGCAGTCCTGTTTTAGGACTCACTGCCAAGGCAGGGTATGAGAAATGTGATAGAGAATTGAGCACAAGTCAGTTGGTAAAGACTGCATAGGATCTTTACCATCTCTATCTTTAGCACATCTTGAATGTGCTAAGGAGCTCAGTGTTTGATCTGCAAACCTCAGGAAGCCATGGACAGATTTCACACAATCAGACTTGAATCTAGGAATGAACCCTTCCTCTGCTCTGTGGCGATGGGTGGATGGGGCAGGATTCATGGCAAGGGTGCAGGGAGGCTGTTGCTGTTCACTGAGTAAGGAATGATGGTAACCAAACTCAGGGCAGTGGGGCTGGAGGGTTGGGACTGATTAAGGAGCTAGTTGTGAGCAGACAGAACCAACAGATTCCAGTTATGGCTTGGATGAGGGTTGAAGAAGAGGAGTGAGTCTAAGATGACTCCCAAGTTCCTGACATTGTCAGAAATGGAAAACACAGGAGGAGGAAAGGGCCTCTTGGGAAAGCTGGTGGATTCAGCTTGGGACATGTTGCGCTGGAGGTGCCTGAGAGAATCCAACTGGAAGAGTCTGGTGGGAAACTGGAGAAAATCTGAGGCTGGGGGGAGAGATTTGGAGTCCACAGCACACAGAGAACAGTTGTGGCTGGGGTCATGAACTAGGTGGCCCAGGGAGAGTGATGGGAGCAAAGAGCTAAGGACAGAACACCAGCATTTAGGGATGGGCAGAAAGGTCAGGAGCTGATGATGAGGAGTATGAGCAGGAGTGGCCAGGCAGGCACGAGGGGAGCCAGCAGAGAGCAGCATGGAAGCCACCGGGTGAGTTTCATTATGATGAATTGACAACCACTGGGCAAGGTAGATAGGATTATCCCTTTCTCAGAGATGAAGGAATTGAGGCTCCAGGAGATTAAGAAGCAAAGTTTTCAGCTAATCAGAGGTGGAGCTGTGATTTGAACCCAGGTCTCTGACTTCAAAATCTAATAAGCTGTTTTTACCATACCATGTTTAGCAACACAGGGTTTGGCACAAAGTAGATGATCAATAGATACTTGCTGGATGAAAGGATGGATGGATGCATGGGTACTGTCAGCAGCAAAAAATGCTAAAAATTTTTAACGAACAAGCAGAAAGATCTTGGAGCATGCCTGGAAGCAAGTCCACAGAACGGAAGCAGCTTAGAACTTTTTATAGCATTGCAGACGTGGTGATGACAAAGGCTTGCCTTCCTTCCACTGCTCTGTTAACGATCTTTTAAAGTCCTTTCAGAGCCAGTGTTTTTTTTCCCCTCTTCTTTCCATTCTTGCTTGCAAACGAAAGATGATTTTAGAATCCAGGCCTTCTTTATTTTGCTAAAGTACATGATGAGTAAAATGGCCTCTCAGTCAGCACTTTCCAATTTTGAAAGATGCTAAAAACTGATCTTTAAAAGCATATTTTTCTACTTTATGCATCAAAGGGCCATGAGGCCTGCTGGAGGGGATGGATGAACTGCAGGAAGGTGGCACCACCTGCAAGGCTGGGCCTCACTGTGGAGGGCAGGAAGCGGCTGGGATGGGGAGCAGGTGTTTGGGCCAGGGCCTGGCTGGTCTCCTGGTGGCCGCCCCACCCGTTCTCTTTCAGCCTGTTCTTCTCCATGGGACAGGACGCAGCTGGATCCCAATGCCCCAGAAAGCAACAAAGACCCCATTTACCTGACCCATGAGAGCCTCTGGCTGATGCTCAGTAATTGTCTGTTGAATGAATGAATGAGTCACAGGGGTCACTGTACACATTCCTATTAACCACACTGAGATAATGAATGTAATCCCATGTATAGAGCTTTCAAAAATAGATTTTCCTTAGAAATAAAGGTGGACACTCACTATGTGCTAGGCACTGTGTTAAGCACTTTACAAGGACTATTTCACTTAGTCTTCCCAGAAATCCGGTAAGGAACGTACTACCATTATCCTCATTTTGCAGATGAGGAAACTGGGGCTGAGATGGAAAAGGAGCGACCAGAGGCCACCCATGGTTTGTTGGTAGAGCTGAGATGCGAACAAAGCTCAAAGCAAGTCTGAAACCTCTTAATTGGGAAGCTCTGTAGGCTCCAGGAATTTCTTGAGGGATTAACTATCAGGAAGGTAGAAAGGGCTAGAACACTGTGCAGGGCAGCAGAGTGTGGTTGGCTGGGGTCTTGTCTCTGCCACAAACTCCCCAGGGGCCTTAGAAGCTCCTTTCTCCTCATCTGGCCTCAGTTTTCCTATATGTAAAGTGTGGAAGAAAGTTAGATGATGCTTCCATGGACTGCAGGATTTGCCTGCCCTGGTGGGAGGAGAACAGGGGAGGTTGCAAGGCCCCTGAGAGCAGTCAGCTTTAGCCTCCAGCCTGTACAGACTTGCCCTAGGGCTTGCCCATGAGACCAGGGTGGACTGACTGCAGGAGCCACAGGAAAGCCAGCCCTGGAGAGGGCTAGAGAATCCAGGCTGGGCTGGGGTTGGGGGTGAGGTTCTGCCCTGCCCACCTTCCCAGGCAGAGCTCTGGGCTAAGAGCCAGAGGTGAAGGAATGTTGTCTGCCACAGCCTTGAACCCTTTATGGGGTGCTGAACATCTACTCACCTTCATGATGTGTCCTTCCATCCACAGGGGAATGATGTGCGGATCATCCTTGGCCAGTTTGACCAGAATATGGCAGCAAAAGTGTTCTGTTGTGTAAGTAAAACAGTTGTATCATTCGTGTCTTTGGGGAGGTTCACGAAGCTTTTTCCCATACTCATTATCTCCCTGCTCAGTCTGTGAGTGGGATCACAGGACTGGAGCCTGGGTTCCTGGAAGCAGAAGAGTTGCGTTCACTGTTCTTTCCTCTTTCCAGGGAGCTAAAACCCCAGGGCTCAGAACAATACCATCATCGAGGAACCAGGGACCTCAGTCTAACCCATAGTCTAAGCCTTGTTGGCTAATTCTAAGTCTGCTCAACTTAGCCAGGGAGATACCAGAAATCAGGGTGAGGCTGAAGTGACTCAGACCCCCTCCCTGCCCTGTAGGTAGGGCTCAGAGTCTTAGGTTAGGGACAAATTATCAACTATTGATTTTCTCCTCCTGAATCCTTTACAGCTGTCTAGTGACAGATGACAAAGGTGACCTTTTTATGCCTTATCTCATTTAATCTTTTCAATAACCATGTGAAGCAACTATGATTTTCCCATTTTACAGATGAGGAAATAGAGCTCCATAGAGTAAAGGGACTTGTCCAAGGGCCCTCAGCCAATTCATGGCAGAGCCAAGGCTCCATCCCCATTAACCTGATCCCCAATCTAGTCTCTAAAAAAAAAAGGTTTTCTCCATATGACTTCTAGCTTAAGTTAGATGTAGGGGACAGAACACAGGAACTAAGTCAGTTTCCATTTTGATGTCCCAGCTCCCAATCCTCCCCATCATGTCAGGAGAAAAGTCAACAAAATGAAAGCCCAGGCAGGTGAGTCACTGTCTGCCCAATAAGCTTCACCTTTTAGACTGAGGTCATTCTAGGCGTAGTGTCTGGTGACGGGCCGCAGATCTCTGATCTTTTTGTCAGTAATGTGGATGAGGTTATAAATAGGAATTCTAGAAATCATGAAATACATTGGATGACAGAGTTTGAGTGCAAAGAACTTTAACAGGTTGGAATGTTTGATTAAATCCAAGCAGAGTAAATGGTCCTAACATATTATATTAGAACAAATGAAGCTGCCTAAGTCCAAGTGGTAGAGGGATAGCTGAGGAGTACTGTGTGTTGAGAAGAGAAGGGACTTTGGATGTTCCAGATGACCCCCAGTTTACTACCGGGTCTGGCAACTAAGGTCATCAGCATGAGCACAGTGCCAGAGAGCCGAGGTGACCTCAAATTGCATGTCTACACCCAGGGCAGGGTAGTCCCTCTGCTCTTTGCTGGAGAGACCCCACCTAGGGAGACCTGCCCAGCTCCTGGTGGCCTGTTTTGGACAGATGTAGGAATTGAAAAGAGACAAGCAGCGAGGATAGGGTAGTGGCTGCAAGCCGTGGTCACGTGTGGTTATTTGAACCTGAAGGCTCAGGAGCAAAACGAGAACTGTCCGATCATCTTCTGATTTAGCCGGGAGAAGGGAGAGGCTGTGAGGCTGACATTTCAGGGGATCTTGGATGGAGGCTGGCACTCAGGAGCCAATCAGCTTGGGCTTGAGTCCCTGTTCTGCTACTTATTATTGAAGTTGGGTATGTTGTTTACACTCTCTGAGCCCCAGTTTCTCATCTGTAAAATGGGGATTGTAACACCTGTCTGATAAGATTGTTGAGCAAAAACCCTCTGCATAGTACCTCATGTACAGTGAACCCTCAGCAGATACCAGCCATCTTTTTTTGGTTGTTTATATAGGGTCTCAGGTGTCCAAAGATGGAATGGGCCACCATTTACTGGCAAGTTTTATGGGTAGATTCCACAAAATTGTGTTAAGCATTCTATTTATCAGTGGAGAGTAGCAAGAGGTCTTTCCACATTGAAATCGAAGGAGGACCATGAGAAAAATAGAAAATATAGAGTGAATAGATATAAAAATTTTACTCCAAAACTCATAAAACCTTGCTGCTTACTACGTAGGGTCCAGAAATAACCCACTTTAAAAAGGAAAATAATGGTCCAAATTTGAGAGCGTGCTTTCTTTTACAAAAGAAACTCGGTATCCCCTCTCCAGTATCCCCAGGGCCTTGCAAGGAGCTGGTACATGGTGGGTGATTGGTGTTGATCGAATGAGGAAAACAAATAACTTCAGAAAAAATAAATTAATAAAAATGATCTATGAAGATGCCACACCAGACCCTGGCCACCTCCAGTTTGCAAGAAACATAGATGGGCCTTATGTTCTGATTTAAGCCAAATCAAAGCCCAGGTGTGACTGTGATCTCACTCTGCCACGCACTGGGGTGAGTTTCCAAGTGGCTTTCCCAGCCATGGTTTCTGCTTCTGAACAGATGGCATGGCTGTCTACCTTTCAACCCAAAGCCCCCTGGCTTGTCTGCCTTCCACATGGTACGGGGACATCATCCCACCTTCTCATCCCATTTTCCTCTTCACTCTTGTTAGTTTTGGCATTTTGAGATGAGGTTTCTCTTAGAGTCTTCACTTGCTGCCCCATTCCGAGGAGTTTCTCAGAGGCTTTGGGCTGGGTATAGTGTCCATGTGTTGGGTCCCCAGATGGAATCTGCCCTCAAGGACTTATGGTCTTGTCTGGTTGGGAAGGAGTTCTTCTGGAAGGTCCAGAAGGTCCTAAGGAGACTGTTCAATGTTTTCACGCTGGATCAAGACTGATAAGTGACAGAGGGAGGGGACGCTCAGAGCAGAGGCCCCCAAGAGAGCCTTCCGATCTCTATTGGAGTCAGAGCAGAGACCACATGGAAACAACCATGTCTCTGCCATCCAAATGCTGCCCTGGAAACTTTACAGCGTGTTGCTGTGTTCTTGAGATTGGAACTGCCACCCAATGGGATCGCAGACTCCAGCAAATGCAAGGCCTATTTATAGCCCTGTGGCAAATGTTCATTTTGGCATCAGCACAGTATGAGCATGGCATGTTGCTTTTGTCTTCTCCTCTGTCCTCAGTGGTCTGTTCTAAATTCTCAAGCACTCTAATGTGGGTTCTGGTTTTAGCTCTGCCAGCTGTGTGACCTCAATCAGGTCGCTTTACATCTCTGGTCCCCAGCTGCCTCATCTCTGAAATGGAAGCAATGATCCGTACCCTGTCTGCTTCATGGGGTTGTCGAGAGGCTTAAATGAGGCCACCAAAGGGAAAGCTTCATCCTAACTGTTAACTGCCTTACTGATGCGAGGGTTTATTACTATTATTGTTGTAAACCTTAATATAAAAAGGAAACGTCTTTCTTGCATGGGGAGTGGAGGAGGCAAAAGGAAACTTAATTAAATGATGAAATTAGATTTTTTTTTAAATTGTGTCATGGCTACATGTATACAGCTAGTAAGAACCAAAGGGGTTCATGGGGCTGAACCGTGTGAACTCAGGATGGCCCACTCTCATGCAATAGTACCCGTTTGTCAGTCATAGGTCCTAAGACCACATTTCTACCAGATGCAGAGAAAATGGAGGTGTGGTGGCTCATGCCTGTGATCCCAACACTTTGGGAGGCCAAGGCTGGAAGATAGCCTAAGCCCAAGAGTTAGACCAGCCTGGGCAGCATGGCAAGACCTCATCTCTACAAAAAATTTAAAAATTAGCTGGGCGTGGTATCATCTGCCTGTATTCTCAGCTACTCAGGAGGCTGAGGTGGGAGGATTGCTGGAGCCCAGAAGTTCGAGGCTGCAGTGACCCATGGTCATGCCACAGCATTCCAGCCTGAGTGACAGAGACAGACCCTGTCTCAAGAAAAAAGAAAACAAAAATCAAGGTGACCAAGTAAATTAGAAATGCATTCATTCGGTCGGTCCACAACCGTTGATTGAGTAGCCCCTGTATACCAGGCACTGTAGAAAGCCCTGGGGCTCCAGGAGAGAACTGGCATGGCCCCACCCTCCCAAAACTCCCCAACTGGCAGAGGAGACAGAGAAGCATACCAGTGCCTAGTTAAAACTCATGTGTCCAACAACCTCAGCCCTTCTGACCATAGGAATACTGCAATGGAGTCCTGGAGGCATTTCCACAGTTGCATTAGACAATGGATGATCTATCCAAGCCCAGTCTACCTCCCTTGCAGGAGAGCCTCACTCAAAGCCTGCTTGCTTTTGCTCTACAAATATGCTTAGCAATCTAGGCGCCCTACTTTCCAAGTCTATAGCAGTTTAAAAGCAGCAAATTCAGAGTGAGGCAGAGGAACTTGATGATAGTGAAAAATGACAGTGTAGAACTGACAGCTAGAAAGGAGACAAAAAGCCATGAAAAGTGGATCCAAAGTCTAAGTACAACTGTCTGGGGCCATCTGGTGTTTGGGGCAGTCTTCTCTAAGCCCAAGAACATAGCCCAGAACAGTGACTTATGTTCAGAATGAAACTATGGGTTACCAAGAGGAGAAGAGAATGAGAAGGGGCAGCTAAAATGTTTCTGAACATAGTGTTTGCCATGCATGATACACAAATTATCTCATTTAATTCTTAAACCAGTACAGTGAGGCAGGCTTTGCTTTCCTCTGTCTGTCCATGGGAAAAGTGGGGCTCCAGGAGTTGTGTGCATGAGTTACCTGGCAGGCATGTGGCAGAAAATCTGCTGTTTGACTGTATTATTTTTTTCCCCAAAAAGTCAGAAGCTAGGTTAGAAAAAGTTTTGTCTTCATCAAAATTGACTAATGTTCTAAATAAAATGTATTATCATTCAAATGGAATAAGCTTCTGTTTTCTGGAAAACTCACTTACAAGAAACAGCTACAACAGGACAGTAGCTGGTTGAAGAACTGTCAGAGCTGATCTGATTTTCTGCTCTGAACTTCCTGCTCAGTGCTGCCTCTTAATTAATTACCACATGGTCTTAATTATCACATGTGTGAAGAAAATCTGCCTTTGTGTCTGATCAGAAGGCCTTTTCATATCCTCACTCTGAGTTTTTTTGTTTGTTTGTTTGTTTTTTGAGACAGAGTCTCACTCTGTCACTCAGGCTGGAGTACGGGGGTGTGATCTCAGCTCACTGCAACTTCTGCCTCCCAGGTTCAAGCAATTCTCCTGCCTCAGCCTCCTGAGTAGCTGGGATTACAGGCATGTGCCACCATGCCCAGCTAATTTTTGTATTTTTTAGTACAGACAAGGTTTCACCATGTTGGCCAGGCTGGTCTTGAACTCCTGACCTCAAGTGATCCGCCCACCTCGGCCTCCCAAAGTGCTATAGGCATGAGCCAACGCGCCCAGCCACTCTGTATCTACTGATTCTTACTTCCTCATAAGTGGAGCTGTCTCCTTGCCACAACCTTATAAGATTGAGAAAACTTCCAAAAATCCTTTTGTTTTGTTTTACTAAGAGCGGAACTTCAAGAATGGACTTTGAGTCTTGTCCCTTTGACTTACCAGCTATATGTGTTGAGAAAATTTCATCTATAAAATTTAGATAATAGTGCATACCTCATAGGGTAGTTGTGAGAATAAAATAATATATAAAAATAGCAACACACATAATGGGACCTCAATACACATGAGATCTCTGTCAGTAAAAGATGAGAGTTGTGAAGTCTTACAGGCTCTGCCATTGATTAAATGACCTGGGATTACTAGGGTGACCCTTTTATTCAAAAGTCTAGTCCCCAGCCAGGATCTGGCATTTCTTTTCTTTTCTTTTCTTTTCTTTTTTTTTTTTAAAGTTTCTGTGGACTAAATTTCATTCATTAGAGAGAAGCCCCGGAGACTGCCTGCTTTTCTTCAGCTGGGATTTTGTTAGGTAATTAAAATACGAGAGTTTTCTGTATTTTCCATGACAGTTTTGTTTGGGGCAACATTGTAATGTAGTTGCTGCAAAAATGACTGTGATCTGAGGTTGCATTATGAGAAGTACAGTGTCTAAAATGAGGGAAGCGAAGGTCCTGTATCATCGAAGGAGTCTAGTGAAGAGACAGTGTGATCACTGCCTTGAGGTAGTTGAAGGGGTCTTTTGTTAAGCAATGTCTATTTAATCTTCAGATACCTTGCCGAACCAATGGATGGAGACCACAGAGAGGGGATCTGAGCTTAAGTCAAGGAACAAATCTTTTAACTCACATGTACCCCAATGAGCTGCTCCACACTGCAGCCTGGGCTTTCTCAGGTATTAAGGGTGTTTTAGAGGAGTAGCCTCTGGACTTGGGATGAGGAGAGTGCCCCTCTGACTGTTAGAATTGATGGTAACTTTTCTCTAACATATAGGAGTTGTTGGGAGCTCTGGCCTCCCTTCTGTGGACAGACCCTCACTTTAGCCTCCTGGAGCCTAAGTGGAAGGCAGCAAGAACCTTCCCAGGGTCCAGAGCAATCTCAGGCTTCTCTCCCTACACCCTCCTGTCCTCTCACATTAACCCTGCTGTAGGCCAAGGGGTGCGACATGAATGGTTCCCCAACATCTCCTAATGTGGGTGACTCCCCAGGATTGAACGGAAGGATTGTTTAAGGTTTCAGTTTAGAATGCGGGCAGTCCATCAATGCACAGAGGAAATTTCCATCCACCCCTGCTCTCTGTAGTCACTTCTGGGTATTTTGTTTACTTACGGGTACATGACCACCACTTAGAAACTTTATTCTGAACCCAATTTTGATGGAACCTGACAGTCCTACAAACTGGGACTTTTCTGCTTGAATCAAAGCTATCAAAAACCATGATTTTCCTGATATAAAATAATGACAATAAGAATTAGAGTCAAGTAGGGGTGCATTAGAACCTTCTGATGACTTTTCTTTAAATGGAAGGCAAGCAGTGTAGCTTTGTACCCTTAAAGTCAGCAGAACTAGATCCAGGCCTGACTTTTCTCCCTGACTGTTTGACCTTGGAAAAGTTACTTTCCCTCTGATTTTCAGTTTCCTCCTCTCTAGAATGAGGATGATAAACCACCTCCCAGAGTGAATGTGAGTGACAATCAAATAAGATCCATGTAAGATATAAAAATGTAAGGGAATTTTTTTAGGATCTGAATTTATACACTCTGTGTTTTGGATAAAGATTCAGAGCGACTTCTCGGTTTGCCAAGTGGCATCTTATATAAACTACACACTTAGATTAAATTGCCTTGGCCCCTTAAAAATTATTCCCCCTGGGTTGTGTTATGAGGCCTCAGCTTTTAGTAAAGATCTATACAAAAATTAGCTTTATGAAATCTCTTTGTTGTAGAAGTTGTGTTGATACTAAACTGGCTAATTTGACAGTATCCTCTCCATATGGGACATTTTTAGGGTTAGAGACTAGAAAATACTTTGTTTCCCCAAAGATCTGGTATGTTTTCTCCTTATTGATAATGAGAGTTGTGTAAATAACCTTGTTGCCCTTTTCTCTTGGGCTGCTGGGAAGTTCATGGTGAAATTTGCAGCTAATGATGAATATGGTTAGAACCTTTGGTCTGTCTACATTCTGTTCCTTCTATCTTCAGGAAACATAATTTATATTTTTATGGGCCCTTATGTTTTAATTTTTATTCAGTACTTATTATTTTATTATACATGTTATCCATAAACTACCTTGGATCCTTTGATAAATAGCAAGGAAGAAACCAAACAAGTAATTAAACATTTCCTAAATCCTCTGGGAAGAGGAAGCCTTCCTCCCCACCTGTCTTCCAGGGCACAGAGCCTTGAACTGTGCGACTCTCAATGCCCTCATAGTCACTCCATCTTTTACAGGCATACGAGGAGAACATGTATGGTAGTAAATATCAGTGGATCATTCCGGGCTGGTACGAGCCTTCTTGGTGGGAGCAGGTGCACACGGAAGCCAACTCATCCCGCTGCCTCCGGAAGAATCTGCTTGCTGCCATGGAGGGCTACATTGGCGTGGATTTCGAGCCCCTGAGCTCCAAGCAGATCAAGACCATCTCAGGAAAGGTCAGTGCCTTGGTCCCCATTTCAACCTTCTGGCCCACCTCCTTTGATCATCTTGTCTGATGACATTGGCCAAAAGAGCACATTTATTGTCCTGTGTCACTTTGAGCAAATCACTTGACCTCTCTGAGCCTCTTGTACCTGTAAAATGTGGTATGTACAACCCTCCACTGCTTACCTCTCTAGGCAACTGTGAGACCCAAATGAGGTAAGGATATTGTGAAGCACATAACACAGTACACATGTTATGTATACATATATGAATAATAGAGTCCTGGCATCAACTTCAGGGCCCTTTAGACTCTGTAAAAGTTCATCCCGTGCTCCTTTTACCTAAGATGTCATTCTCAGTTGTGTTGATGCTCTCCTGGAGGAGAGGAAAGACGCCTTAAGTAGACTTTGGGAAACACATGCTGTAGAGCTGCCAGACTGCGTCAAACCCCAATTTTACCACTACCACCTGTGTGACCTTGAACCTGAGTTCTCCAAGCCTCTGCTTCTATATCTGTGTGGATATATATTTTTAGGGGCCACTATTCAGCATACTGTTGTGATCTTAGGATGTCCCTTCTATAGATATATCTTCTATATCTCTGCTTCTATATCTGTGATAACCCCCTTCTGGGGGTTATCAGGAGGATTGATGGCAGGTGGTGCAAGCCACTAGCATGGTGTCTGGCACCTTGATGCTGTCACGACTGTGAGCAGGACCTTGGACAGGGTGTGTCAGCCTCAGGGCCTCTGCATGCTTCCATGAGGAGTGTTACTAATTCCTGCCCTGCTTATCTCATAGGGCTATTGCGAGGACCAAGTAATATAGGACATGTAAAAGTATTTCCAAAGCACACCATTCTCTATCATTGTAAGTCTTATCAAAGATCAGGTGATGATAGCCCTGGTAAAGGTGGTAACATCCATTTCTCAATTCTGAACAGCAGCCAAAATTCAGCACAGCAATGCACATAAGTCTTTTCTGAGTTCAGAAGTTAAATTATTCACTCAACCCCCAGGGTTCTTACAGACCAAATTTTATATCAAGAAAAAGCTTTATAATAAGGAAAAATATATGTATATAATTTTATGTATTATTTAATCTCAATTGGAACCAACTCTACATGAATGATTTATCGATTTGTCAAGAAATGGCAAATCATTAGGACATATTTTGTAAACAGCTCTTTAGCTCGTACTGGCACCTGGTTAGAAAATGTTGAAAGAAATATTTTCATACCAAAATCAATGCATATATAACATTTTTTTGAGATGTTGAATAATGAGCAGAAATAACTCATTTATTCAGTAAGTGTTATTTTTAAAGGTGTCAAATTTTGCAATTTATTAAGATCCTTGGGTCCAGGGATACCCTGTATTTTAATCTAAAAATATCATAAAAATTGAGGAAAACACAAAACCTAAGGGAAAAAAATATCCATGAAAGCAGATGGTACAGTAACTAAATGGAGAGGCTTCAGGAAGACCAAAGACTTAAATGGTTGCACAGGAGATCTGTGAGGCTGTCAGGATGAGAGCCATGAGACACTACAGGAAGGACCTCCCTCGGATATAGTTCTAAGGGTGTGGCTTTCAGCCAGGGTGGGAGCCATGCAGGGCTGTGTGCAGGGCTGTGAGCAGTACACGAGAGTGCATTGTAGGAAGATCATTTTTTGTAGTGTATTTGGGAGGAAATGTTTTGGCATTTGTAACAACATCCCCCAGATCACTGACTTCCCTTTTCTAAATTTTCTTATTCGGGATTGGTGAAGAGGCTGACCTCTTGCCCATCACTGTCTCATGCATGGGACACCTTGGGACTGTTCACCTCACAGTTTTGGAAAACCCACTCATAAGCCCACCCCCTGGAGGGGACAGGACCATTGAGGTGGCTTCCAAAAGTCCAGGAGACCCAATCCCTGTCCGCATGGTCTTTGAAGCAAGAGGAAGCATTTCTTACATTACCCCACAGTTACGAGATTGTTAAAGTTACACAAGGAAATTTGAAGCCTCTTCGCTTCTTGGAATCAGAGGGTCCCAGAGCTGCTCTTAGACATTATGGAGTCCAGCTTCCCATCAGATTCTCAGATCTTCCAGTAGCAAAGGAATTCTCTCCTTTAATTCTGCCACCCCTAGGTCCCACTGGAGCTACTCAGATCCTATTGACCCATCTGTCCCACATAGTCCTTCAGTGACCACAGAGTCACTGCTTCTCCAAACTAAACAGCGCTAGTCCTTCCAATTGTTAGCTCACAGGTCCAGGGCTGGGACTAAGCCTGAAATTTAAAAGGGTGCCAGATACATCGGTAATCAAGATTAAACAAAATATGTTAATGCAATTAAAATAATGCCAAAAAAAAAACCCCATGATGAACAAATTGTCAAAATTTTAAATAAAGACCAGATTCACAGGACAGGGATTAGGGTGAGGAAAGTGAGGTGAGTCATGCCAGTGCAAGGTTGGATTCTATCTTTATTTAAATTCCGATGTTTTGTTCATCATGGATTTCTTGCATTCATTTTTATTTTTAAAATATTAAAATATTTTTATCTTGATTACTGATAGGGTTTAGCTCTGCGTCCCCACCCAAATCTTGTCTTGAATTGTACTCCCATAATTCCCATGTGTTGTGGGAGGGACCCGGTGGGAGATAATTGAATCATGGGGACAGTTTCCCCCACACTGTTCTTGTGGTAGAGAATAAGTTTCACGAGATCTGATTGTTTGATAAGGGGAAATTCATTTTGCTTGGCTCTCATCCTTTCTCTTGTCTGCCACCATGTGAGATGTGCCTTTCACCTTCTGCCATGATTGTGAGGCTTCCTCAGCCACCTGGAACTGTGAGTCCAATAAACCTCTTTCTTTTGTACATTGCCCAGTCTCAGGTATGTCTTTATCAGCAGCATGAAAATGGACTAACACAATTACCAAGATTTTTTGACTCTCCCTTAAATTTTGCACCTGAAAGTAGTGCTTTATTCACCTAGTACAGCCCTGCACAGGTTGTATTTATCAAACCCCTCCCCATGCTCAGCCTGTTCCTTTGTTGCACTTGCCTTTGTTGAACATTCTCTCTAGAGGGTGTGGGGCCCAGAGTTGAATAAAGTATTCCTATTTATGGTCTGACCACAAGCCAACTTCTCCGAACAGCCTTCAGAAGTCTATGGTCAAACATAGTTCTAGAGAGTCAGGAAATGTTTCTTGAATTTGAATTTGCGTTCTATATAGCTGCTTGGGGCCACGGTCAGCATGGCACTGGCTGCTGGATTGATGCCTGTATTTTGGGATCCATCGATGTCCATGAAAACAAGCAAACACTTGTAAAACCACAGCAAGTGAATGGGCTCTTGTCATCCTCACTATTGTACAAATGGAAAACCTAAGAGCCAGAGAGGGGAAGGGACATCCCAAGATCACGAAAGTGGGTTGAATAGTGGCCCCTAAAAAGATATATCCACATTGTAACCCTTGGAACTTGGGAGTGTGACCTTGTTTGGAAAAGGGGGGTTTTGCAGGTGTAATTAACTTAAGGCTCTCAGGATAAGATTTCCTGGATTACCCAGGTAGGCCCTAAACCAACGACAGGTGTCCTGTATGAGAGAAAGGCAGAGGGAGAGTTTAGGAGAGAGGCATGGAGTGGAGGGATCTCTCTTAGAGCTTCCAGAAGGAGCCAACCCTCATGATGGGGTTTGGCTCTGTGTCTCCACCCAGGCTCTCATGATGAGATTTCCTGGATTACCTATGTGTCAGGGGAGGGACCTGGTGGGAGATGATTGAATCATGGGGGCCATTTCCCCTTTGCTGTTCTTGTGATAGTGAATGAGTTCTCACGAGATCTGGTTGTTTGAATGTGTGTGACACTTCCCCCTTCACTCTCTCTCTCTTTCCTTCTGCCTTGTGAAGAAGGTTCTTACTTTCCCTTCCACTGTGATTGTAAGTTTCCTGAGGCCTCCTCAGCAATACAGAACTGTGAGTCAATTGAACCTCTTTGCTTTATAAATTACCCTGTCTCAGGTGGTTCTTTATAGCAGTGTGAGAATGGACCAATATAACTGGCAATGCCTGAATTTCAGCCTTCTGGCCTCCAGAACTGTGAGAGAATAAACTGCTGTTGTTTTAAGCCACCCAGTGTGTGGGAACTTGTTGGCAGCCCCACAAATCTAATACAATCATCCAGCAGGTAGAGGCAGATCCAGGACTTGAAGCCAGGACTCCTAATCCCAACTCAGCGCCCCTTCCCCTCTGCCATGCTGCTCCTCTAGACCTGTGACGTGCTTAGGGACACATCCAAATCAGCTCTTTTGTGGCATCTCAGTGGGCCTCTGTTGTTACGTGACACACAGGAGCACAGAGTGTGGTACTCCAGAGATCCGGTGTGGATCCTGCGTTCACACCACTTAATCTGCAACCTCAGCAAGTCACATTCTCTCCCTGGGCTAGGTAACTTCTAGGGTGCTTTCACAGCTCAGTTCTCTAACTTTGTGTAACTATGGTGTGGAGTTATTACAGCAAGCTCTGTGACATGGTTATGATGTTAAGTCATGCAAGTGCAAGGTTGGATTCTGTATTTAAATTTTTGATGTTATGTTCATCATGGGTTTCTTGCATTAGTTTTTATTTTTTAAACATGACACTAAAATATGCTTATCTTAATTACTGAGATATTTTGGCTCCCCTTTAAATTTTGTACCTGAAATTAGTGCTTTATTCACTTCATCCTAGCACAGCCCTGCACAGGTTGTATTTGTCAAACCCCTGTCCTCTTGTACTTGCTCTTGTCAGATCTCCCAGGATACAGCTGACTCCCGATAGACAAAGTCACAGAAAAGGGCAGAACAGTGGCACCTCCTGGATGCATTCTCCAAGGTTCCCTCCTTTGTATGCCTGTCTCTAGCATCCAGCTGTCCCCAGCTCACTCATTAGCACCAGGAGTTTTCTGGTAGGAGGAATAGCAAGGTCACGGGCTCCCTCCAGAAGCACGTTCTTCAGTCCTTTCCCATTGGACTGTCCTGCGTTGGGACTTGGACCTTCAGGCTTTCTGAGCCCATTCAGAGCTCAATTTTCTGGGACCTCATGAAGACAGCCCCTGGACTCCTGCTTTGGGCCCAACATTGGCTCCTTCTCTCCACTGAGGCTCCCCATCACTGTTCTACTCCCGCAAAGTGACTTGACATCGGTGATTTCAAGTGTCAGCTTCCATTTTTCAAGTCCTGTTCGTTTTGTTTCCTTTGTGAGCATTTATAATTCTGGCTTGATTTCTCCAGCGATGGCTCAGCCTCTCCAATAGGGACATTCTTCTCCTGTTATTGTGCCCCTGCTGAGGCTCAGTGCTGGGCCAAGGCCCCAGATGAGCTGTTCATAGCACCCTGAGACCTCTGGAGTAGCCCTAGCCCTCCATCAAAGGCACAGGTCCATCCTTTGGAAGACTTTGTAATGTTTTCTGGCAAGAAACTTCTGTGACCACCCATGATTATTTATTCAACCCAGCAAATCTAGTGATCCTTCCACTTAGAGCCAATGGCCCATGAAAATCTGCACCCATCTCATTACCACTGCGCTGTGAGCACCGTGACAAAGAACTTGGAGTTTTAGGGAAGCACTGAGCTTAGCACGGAGGAAGGAAAGGTGCTGCGGAAAAATAGAACTCCCCAGAGAGCCCAGCTTCACAGCGCTGCTCTCTCCCCTACCCCCCACAAAGCTCCCATTCCTTGCTACTCCCATTCCTTGCTACTCCCCTAGGCACTCATGACACTGGGAGAAGGCACTATGTCAGAGGGGCATGGGCTCAGAAGGAAAAGGCTGACTGGCCCATGGAGGGGCCACTGGCTAGACTTGAATCATGGCCCCAACACTTCCCAACTGGGTGACTCTGGCAGGTGGCTGGTCATCTATACCAACATCCATACCTCTCCTCCCCTCTTCTAAGCTCTGTAACACAACAAACCAGAGTTCATAACGCAACTCTGGTTTTTAACCGGGTATGTTGCCACCTCACTGGAAAATGTATTATACACTTCCCAGCCTTCCATGCTAGATATGGCCGGGATTGCAAGTCTGGCCAATGAGATATAAGTAGAAGTGTTATGTGGGACTTCTAGAAAGGCTCTATTAAAGGGGGATATGGCCTTTCTTTTTCATTCTCTTTTGTGTTGACTGGAATGTGGATGTGATGGCTGGATTTCTAGTAGCCATTTTGGACCATTAGGTACAAGGTGACCTTGACAAGGAAGCATCATTCTAGGATTGTGGAGCATAAAGATAGGACCCTGGATCCCTTATTACCCTGGGGAGCTGTCATAGCTGTATTACTCAGCCTCCCCACAGACATCTTTTATATGAGAAAGAAATAACCTATCTCATTTAAGTCACTGATAATTTGTTTTTTCTGTTACAATGCAGCTGAACCTAAGAGTAATACAGTGATGTTGTGCAAGTCATTTAACCTTTCCCAGTTTGTCTCTCATCTGTAAAATGGGGATAATAATATCTCTCTCACAGATTTGTAAGGATTAGATGAGGTTATACAGTAGAAAGTATCTTACCAAGTGCAAACACATAGTAGGTGCTCAACAAATATTAATTCTCTTCCTTTTCAGGATAGGAACCTTAGGGGTAGGAGGAAGGAGTAGTGAGATCGATGAAGAGTTTATAACCCAGGTCATGTGAGATGAGGAGCAATGGAAGGATTGGGATTACCTTTTATGGTTTCATTAATTATTTTTATTGAAGGAGAGCACCCATGTAACTACCACCCAGGTCAAGAAAAAAACTATTTGTAGCAATTCAGAAACTGCCTTTATGTGTTACAGTTAATACCCACTGCCAGATGTAACCATTCTTCTGACTTCCTTTGCCATTCAGATGCCTGCTTTTGAACTTTTGAACTCCACAGCTTTTTTTAGTATCTTCAGATTTAGGGAGTGTATTAGTCCTTTCTCACACTGTTATAAAGAGACACCTGAAACTGGGTAATTTATAAAGAAAAGAGGTTTAATTGGCTCACAGTTCCACAGGCTGTACAGGAAGCATGGCTGGGGAGGCCTCAGGAAACTTAGAATCATGGCAGAAGGCAAAGCGGAAGCAGGCATGTCTGGAGCAGAAGGAAGCAGGAGGAAGAGAGCAAAGGGGGAGGTGCTACACCCTTTTAAACAACCCGATCTTGTGAGAACGCACTCACTAGCATGAGAACAGCAAGGGGAAAACCTGCCCCATGATCCAGTCACCTCCCAGCAGGCCGCTCCTCCTCCAACACTGGGGATTGCAATTTGACATGGGATTTGGGCAGGAACACAAATGCAAACCATACCAGGGAAGATTCGTCTTTCTGGTAGTTATTCTAGTTCACTCTTAAATAAACACCATCTTCTGTCTTTGCCACAGTTTTCTCATTCTGCCTTTACCACAAAACCTTGCATCAGGGCATGGGTGAGGCAAACGCAGAAGTGAAATGTGTTAATTTTTCTCTTCTTATTCAGTCATCTGTAAAGTTTTGATGTTCTCTGTCTTCCATTATAGATGTGGTATCATTTTGTATAGAATGTTTGTAGCTACAAAGCTAGCTAGTATAGTTTGCGGAGACTTGGGAAAGTTAATTTATACACAGCCTCCTTCATCTTCAGCTACCTGGAAGTCCTTTAACTGGTGTGTTTTAATGAACAGAAATTCTTTAATAGAACCCACTCAAAGGCTATGAAGATATTTTCCTATCTTGTGTTTTAGAAACTCTATTGTTTTACCTTTCACATTTAGATCTATAATTAACCTGAAATACATTTTGTATAGGATGTGAGGTAATGATCAAGATTCCTTTTCTTCTTTTCTTTTTTTACATGGATATCTAATTGACCCAACATCATTTATTGAAAAGTCCATCTTTTCCCACACTGTGCCGCCATATTACTTTTGTCATAAAGCAAATGACTTTATATATTTGGTTCTGTTTCTAAACTTTTTTTTTCACATCACGTATTGATTGTTTATTTAATAAGCATTTTATGCTTTAATTTTTCTTTTTTTTTTTTTTTTTTTTTTTTTTAGTATTTATTGATCATTCTTGGGTGTTTCTCAGAGAGGGGGATGTGGCAGAGTCATAGGGTAATAGTGGAGAGAAGGTCAGCAGATAAACACAAGAACAAAGGTCTCTGGTTTTCCTAGGCAGAGGTCCCTGCGGCCTTCGGCCCTGTTTGTGTCCCCGGGTACTTGAGATTAGGGAGTGGTGATGACTCTTAACGAGCATGCTGCCTTCAAGCATCTGTTTAACAAAGCACATCTTGCACCGCCCTTAATCCATTTAACCCTGAGTTGACACAGCACATGTTTCAGAGAGCACGGGGTTGGGGGTAAGGTTATAGATTAACAGCATCCCAAGGCAGAAGAGTTTTTCTTAGTACAGAACAAAATGGAGTCTCCTATGTCTACTTCTTTCTACACAGACACAGTAACAATCTGATCTCTCTTTCTTTTCCCCACATTTCCCCCTTTTCTTTTCGACAAAACTGCCATCGTCATCATGGCCCATTCTCGATGGTCGCTGTCTCTTCGGAGCTGTTGGGTACACTTCCCAGACGGGGCGGCTTGGCAGAGGCACTCCTCACTTCCCAGACAGGGCGGCCGGGCAGAGGCGCCCCCCACCTCCCAGACGGGGCGGCTGGGCAGAGGCACTCCTCACTTCCCAGATGGGGGCGGCCAGGCAGAGGCGCTCCTCAGTTCCCATTTGGGGCAGCCGGCCAGAGGCGCTCCTCACTTCCTCCCAGACAGGGCAGCAGGGCAGAGGCGCTCCTCACTTCCCAGAGGGGGCGGCCAGGCAGAGGCGCTCCTCACTTCCCATTCGGGGCAGCTGGGCTGAGGTACTCCTCACTTCCTCCCAGACGGGGCGGCCGGGAAGAGGCGCTCCTCACTTCCCAGACGGGGCGGCCAGGCAGAGGCGCTCCTCACATCCCAGATGATGGGTGGCCAGGTAGAGATGCTCCTCAATTCCTAGACGGGATGGCGGCCGGGCAGAGGCGCTCCTCACCTCCCAGACGGGGCGGCCGGGCAGAGGGGCTCCTCACATCCCAGACGATGGGCTGCCAGGCAGAGACGCTGCTCACTTCCTAGACGGGGTGGCGGGCGGGCAGAGGCTGTAATCTTAGCACTTTGGGAGGCCAAGGCAGGTGGCTGGGAGGTGGAGGTTGTAGCGAGCCAAGATCACGCCACTGCACTCCAGCTTGGGCAACATTGAGCGTTGAGTGAGCGAGACTCCATCTGCAATCCCAGCACCTTGGGAGGCCGAGGCGGGCAGATCACCCGAGGCCAGGAGCTGGACACCAGCCCGGTCAACACAGCGAAACCCCGTCTCCACCAAAAATACAAAAACCAGTCAGGAGTGGCGGCGAGTGCCTGGAATCCCAGGCACTAGGCAGGCCGAGGCAGGAGAATCACCGGAGCCCGAGGCAGGGAGGTTGCAGCGAGCCGAGATCACGGCAGTACTGCCCAGGCTCTGCAAGAGAGGGAGACTGTAGAAAGAGGGAGACGGAGAGCGAGAGCGAGACGGAGAGCGAGAGCGAGAGCGAGACGGAGAGCGAGAGGGCGAGGGAGAGGGAGAGCTCTGTTTCTAAACTTTATCTTTTTCTTTTCCATTGTTTTTCACCAAAACATCTTAATTTTTGTAGCTTTATAATAAGTCTTGATAACTACTCATATAGGTTCTCCATCTTAGTTCGTCAAAACTGTCTTGGCTATTCTTGTCTCTTTGCATTTCTATATACATTTTTAAAACAGATTGCCAGTTTATACACACATACATACATACTTTCTCTGGTTTTTATTGGGATTTTACTGAATCTGTAGATCAATTTAGGGAAAACTGACATCTTAATATTAAAGTCTTCCAATCCATGAATTGTGTATATCCCTGCATTTAGTTAGGTCTTCTTTAATTTCTCTCAGAAATGTTTTATAGTTTTCTGTGTAGAATTATTGCACATATTGGCTGGGCGCAGTGACTCACACTTGTAATCCCAGCACTTGGGGAGGCTGACGCAGGTGAATCACTTGAGGTCAGGAGTTCAAGACCAGCCTGGCCAACATAGTGAAACCCCATCTCTATTAAAAATACAAAAATTAGCCGGGCATGATGGCACATGCCTGTAGTCTCAGCTACTTGGGAGGCTGAGGCAGGAGGATCGCTTGAACCCAGGAGGCGGAGGTTATAGTGAGCCAAGATTACATCACTGCATTCCAGCCTGAGCAACAAAGTGAGACTCCATCTCAATTAAAAAGAAGAAAAAAGGATTATTGTACTTATTTTGTTTGATTTAATTCTGGGCATTTGATATATTTTGGTGAACATATGTGCACATTACTATTGGGTGCATACTTGGGGTGGAATTCTGAGTCAGAGTAGCCATATGTTCAGCTTTAGTAGACTCTGTGACAAACAGCTTTCTAAAGTGGTTATACCAATTTACACATCCGCAAGCAGTGATTGAGAGTTCCAGTTGGTTCACATGCTCAACAACTTTTGGTGTGTCAGCTTTTTAATTTTAGCCAAACTAGTGGGTGTGTAGTGGTTGGTGTCTTGTTTTAGTTTAAATTTGCATTTCCCTGATGACTAATGAAGTTGGACATGTTTTCATATCTTCATTGGCCATTTTGATACCCTTTTTTGTGAATTGCCCATTCAAGTCTTTTGCCCATTTTTCCTGTTGGATACTCTGCCTGTTTCTTACTGATTTGTAGAATTCCTTTTTAGATTCTGGATATGAATTATTTGACAGTTATATGTATTATTTATATCTTCTCCTATTCTGTGGCTTATCTTTTCACTCTCGATGTATTTTGATGAATAGATATTCCTAATCTTAATGTAATCCAATGTATTAGTCTTCTTTGTGATTAGTATATTTATGCCTTGTTTAAGCATTTTCAGGATGGGGAGAAAAAAGTCAGAAAATAAGAAATGAACATATGAGACACATGGGATATGTTGAAAAAGTATAATATATGTATAACTGTGTCCTGGAAAGGGAGGAAAGAGAGACTAGGCAGAAGCAGTATTTGGTTTTGTTATTTTAGTTTTTTCTGAAAATCACCCTGTCTTGATGATTTGGTTTGGATGTTCGTCCCCTCCAAATCTCATGTCAAAATGTAATTCCCAATGTTGGAGGTAGGGCCTGGTGAGAAGTGATGGGATCATGGGAGTGGATCCCCCCTGAATGGTTTAGCACCATCCCTTTGGTAGCAAGTGAGTTCTCACGCTGAGTTCATGTGAGATCTGGCTGTTTAAGGTGTGTGACACCTTCCCCCTTGCTCTCTTGCTCCATTCTTGCCATGTGCCACACCTACTGTCCTTTGGCTTCTGCCATGATTGAAAGCTTCCTGAGGCCCTTACCAGAAGCAGATGCCAGCACCACGATTCTTGATTCTGCACCTGGAGAATCATGAGCCAATTAAGCCTCCTTTCTTTATAAATTATCTAGTCTCAGGTATTTCTTTATAGCAATGCAAGAACGGCCTAATACACCCACCCATGCTCGTGAAGATATTTTCCTATCTTGTCATTTAGAAGTTTTGTTATATCTTTCACATTTAGACATAGAATTTACTTGAAATTAATTTTATGTATGGTCTGAAATAATATATTTAATTTTATGAATAATCAATTGATTCAGGACTATTTATTGAAAAGGCCATAATCCCCCATCCCACCACTCAGGCTACAGTGTCACCTTTGTCATAAATTAAACAACTGCATATAGTGTGGATATATACACAAGCTTCTGAACTTCCATTTATCTTCCTTTGGTCTACTTATCTATCTTTTAATCAATATCACCCTGTTTTAATTACTGAAGTATGATTTGATACTTTGTAGTATAAATCCTTAATCTTTGTTCTTCTTTAAGATTTTCTTGGCACTGATGTCATTTTTCATTTAGATCTACTAACACATTTACACTTCCTATTACTTTTTTCCTTCCCACATTTCTATTTTTCTGCTTATTGTTACTATTATTTTTCTGCCAGAAGAACTTCTCCTTGGTCTTTCTTTTACTGTGACTCTTCTGGAAGCAAATCTTCCAAGTGTCTGGCTGTCTGAAATTTATTTTACCTTTAATATTGAGAGATGTATTGACTAGATAGAGGATTTTAGATGGCCTATAATTTTCTTTTGGCACTGAAGATGTCATTCCATTGTCTTCTGGCTTCCATTGTTTCTATTGAGTCTGCTGTCTGACTTATTGCTCTTTTGAAGTAATGCATCTTTTTTTCCTCTAGTTATTTTAAGATTTTGTTTTTGATTTGGTCTTTGGCAGTTTTACTACACTGTGCTGAAGTGAACTTTCCTTTGTGTTCATCTTGCCTGGAGTTCATAGAGCTCCATAGGATTTCATGAATCTGTGTATTGATGTGTGTTGGAGAAATAGAATAGTATCCTTTGAAATATTGCTTCTGTCTAGTCTCTCTTTTCTCACCTTCTAGGACACAATTATACATATATTATACTTTTTCAACATATTCCATGTATCTCTTATGTTCATTTCTTATTTTCCAAACTTTTTTTCTCCCTATGTTTCAGTCTGAATACAAACCTGTATTTGGTTCACTAATCTACTTTCTGCTGTGTCTAATATGTTGTTTCACCTATCTATTGAATTCTTTATTTCAATTGTTGTATTTTTTATTTTTAGAATTTTTATATTTTTTCTTTTATAGTATTCAGTTCTCTGATGACATTCTGCATCTTTTAATCAATTTTCTTGAACATACAAACCTTGCTATTTTATTTTATTTTATTTTAGAGATAGAGTCTTGCTCTGTCACCGAGGCCAGAGTGCAGCGGTGTGATCTTGGCTCACTGCACCTCCCAGGTTCAAGCAATTCTCTTGCCTCAGCCTTCCAAGTAGCTGGAATTACAGGTGCCCGCCACCATGCCTGGCTAATTTTTTTCCCATGTTGGCCAGGCTGGTCTTGAACTCCTGACCTCAGGTGATCTGCCCACCTCAGCCTTCCCAAGTGCTGGGAATACAGGCGTGAGCCACCATTCCCGCCAACCTTGCTATTTTAAAGTTCATGTCTAATAATGTCAAGATTTGGATCACCTATGAATTTGTTTCCATTCCATATACTTTTCTCTTCTTTTTCTTCCTTGCTTTTCTTTTAAAACAATTATCTGGACCTATTTCCTGGTGTACCTAGTACATTTTAATTAAATGTGTTGTGTATGAAAAATTGTAGAGGCTACAGATAGTGTTTTCTTTCTCCAGGGAAAATGTATTACTCTTCAAGCAAGTAGTTAGAGTAGTGGCAAATTGCCTTAATCCAGTGAAGAACTGAGATGATTCCAGGTTCGGTTTCAGTTTTTGTAAGGCCCAATCTATTTTGGTTTGCCCTGATTCCTAGTGTTTGACCCTTCAATGTTCTCAACTGAAATCCTGGGATATTTACTGACCCTGGACTCCAATTTTTATTTTCCCAATACTATTAAACTCTAAATAGTTCTGTTTGTTTTCTTGGCTCTTTTGCTTGGCTTCTCAGCCTCTTGCTTTATGCAGCTTAATTATCAAATATTTTAAGTAAAAATGCCAGTCTTAATACCAGGCTCACTTTTTTATGGTTCCCTTTACTCTGGCACCTTGGCCATGCAAGTCTTGCTACCTTGGTAGTCCAGAACTACAGTTTTTGGCTTCCTATCCCTGAGGGACTGCTGAAAACTCTGATCCAATGCTTTCTGTTTCTGTGACTAGCCTTCTTACTTACAAATCAGAAAATGCCTCAAAAGGAAAACAGCAAAGAATTTGGGGCCCATCTCAAAGCATTTATCTTCTCTCCAGAATGATGGATTCTCAGTCCTAGCTGTCCTGCTTGTTTTCTGATGTCTTTGAATAGCTATTTTAATATTTTATTCTGCTTTTCTAAATGTTCTTGATGGGAGCTTTGGTCTGATATAAGCGATTTCATCATAGAGTGGAAGTCTGAACTGAGATTATTTTGCTTAAAAGAAGGAGAATGCATTAGAAAAGGGGAGGCATCTCCCTGTCTTTGGCTCTTTGAGGGGCTGTTGTGTATAAAGGGAGCAGATGTGTGTATTGTGGCTCCGCAGGAACACGTAGCATGCGAATACAAGTTTCAGGGAGAGAGGTGCAAACTCTGCATCTGGAAGAACAGTCTCCTCAACATCAGCCATTCCCTAAGTGGAAAGTTCTGCCTGAGAGGCATAGTGAGCTTCCCAATACTGGAGGAGTATAAGAAGAAACTCAGCAAACACCTGGAAGTTGCTACTGAAAAGATCCAATAATTATCCAATAATCAGATCGCAGGAGGGACTTCATCAGTGGTTACCAATTTTTGTATGCTTGAAATCTGAGAAGGTTTTTAAAAATACAGATTCCTAAGTTAACTCACTCACTGATATACTGAACCAAAATGTATCCCTGGCATCTGTTCTTTTGGTTGTTTGTATTTTGTTTTTGAGATGGAGTCTCACTCTGTCACCCAGGCTGGAGTGCAATGATGCAATCTCGGCTCACTGCAACCTCTGCCTCCTGGGTTCAAATGATTCTTGTGTCTCAGCCTCCTGAGTAGCTGGGATTACAGACACCTGCCACCACGCGCAGCTAACTTTTTGTATTTTTAGTAGAGATGGGGTTTTGCCAGGTTGGCCAGGCTGGTCTTGAACTCCTGACTTCAGGTGATCCACCTGCCTCGGCCTCCCAAAGTGCTGAGATTATAGGCGTGGGACACCGTGCCCAGCCGTGGCATCTGCATTTTTAACAAGCTTCCCAAGTGATTTACAAACGGCAGCACGGGAACCAGCAAACTAAATATTCTCTCGTGTACTTCCAAATGAGACTCTGTGATTCAAACCTCCCACAGGGATGCCAGCGAGAAAGTCTGCCAGTTTCACCTCTGTGGGGATCAGTTGCAGATGTGGAAGAGGATGTATCCTTCTCCTGCCCTCTCTTCTGTCCATGAGGCTCCCCTCTCCCAGGAAGAAGGACTCAGCTCATTTCTGTTGGGATGACAGACTCATAAGGTTTAGTCACATTGTAGGTTAGCAAGCTTGTGTGGGCTAGCCTTGGGACCTAACCACTATTTATAACATAGTGTCTGTGGGAAAATATGTTCCAAGTTCCAACAAATGCCTTTAAAAAATATTCTGGAGGCCAACCTATCAGTAATTGGGACTATCTGCATAAGTTATTTTCTCAGAAACTTTTAGCATCTCACGATAAACTTGACCTCGGAGGATGGTAATTAATCAGCATTCGGTGTCAGCTTTACGATGGAAGAAATTCTTCTGCCTTGAATAATTGGAGGCCTGCTTTAAGAACTTTTTCTCCAACAATTGTGAGTGCGTTTCTTCCTGCTGTCATTGTCTTGCCCAAGGGAGTTGGTGCTGGCATCGCCTGGGAACAATGATGAATGGCCTGGGATATCATGTGGCAGCAACGACTTCTTTAACCTGGTGCTTCCAAAGACAGCAAGAACTGAGGTCACCTTTCAGGGCTTAGCTACACCTGTGTCTGATTCCAAGGACTCTACCCACAGAAATCTGGTAAAGAGCCGTGTTTCCAGTGTTCTTGGCCCTCCTCCTGATCCTTGTACCCGGGAAGGACAGTTTTTTGAGATAGATGAGTTTACAAGTGGCATATGTAAAGTTTATATAGGGACTTTTGTTGACCTCAAGGCCAAATCCAATAGACAATATGATCTTGATCCCCTTAGTGTCCCACAAAACAAAACAAAACTATATCAAGGAAGTTTAAAATTACACTCAGTTACCACCCAGTGAGACCACACTGGGAATGTTCACCTCAAGTCTGGACCTCCCACTTTTAAAGGATCATAGAAACCTTGAAGGCTGCTCCAGTGTCGTGTTCTGGTCAGGGAGGTGTTGTAGAAATGTCATCTGAATGTAGTCATTAGGTCGAACAAGGGAATTCAAAAATGGACACCACCAACCCTCGAATGCCATTGCGTGCATTGGAGAAAGCTCATAGGAGCAAAATCCAAAAGAGAAGTCAAAGGGGCCTCATTTCTGTGATGCTTAACGCAATTAATTAAAGAAACACGCATCCAAGTACTGTTTAAATCCTTTTAAAATGGTCAGTAGTTAACAACCAGAAATAGACACAAATCACATTTTAAAAAATCAAAGAAAATACAGCCAAGTAGTAAAAGATGGAAAAATAACAAGGAGACACTAAAACAAAACATTAAATGATGTGACATCACCATAGCAAGATGGTATAGGAAATTCACCTAACATAATTAGGAAATTCACCTAAAAAATTAAGATTGCTGGTTAATATTTAAAATAAGCTCATTCTAATCATTAAAGAAATGCAAATTAAGATTAAAAGAATACTTTTTTCTTAACAGATATATATGTTTTTCTTAACAAACTGACAATTGAGTTAAAAATGAAAATACCTATTGTCAAGGATGCAGGGAAATGACTACTTTCATACACAGTAGGATTACAACTTTTTGTATTTGGGAAGAACGATTTTGCTCTACAATGTGTGAATAGGTGTGCTCCTGTGTTTTACAGACAGAGAAACTGAGGCCTAAAAAGGGCCTAAGCAGGTATTGTTTGAGATTCTGGTGGTACCTCAGTGATCAAGACAGATCACATCTCCGACCTCATGGAGCTTAATTCTAGGTGGGTGGGAAGGGAGGAGTGAAACCACAGACCATAAGCAAGTAAACACATAAGGAGGAAAATTGCAGGGAGTGACAAGTGCAATAAAGAAGATAAAAACCCCTGGCCTCAGGCTGGGGGCTTTTACAACGGGTGGGTCAAGGAAGCCATCCCTGAGAAGTGACAGGTGCTGACATTTGAATGCTGAGAATTATCATGCCAAGAGCTGGGCAAGGAGCTTTCTGGCAGAGAAACAGCTTGTGCAAAGCCCTGAGGTGCAAGCCAACTTGATGTGATCAAGGGACCCAAAAGGTTTAAAGAGACAGAGCTTCATAGTGGACTGTTTCCTCCTTCTCTAGGAGGAGTGAAAGTGGCGGGGATGACTATGAGCTTCAAGAGCCAGCGGGCATGGAGTGTGGGCGGGTGGAGGAATGTGAGTAACAGGACGAACTCAGGGAGCTGAGCTGGACTAGAAATGCTGGTCTCTTTGAGGAACCTGGGATTTGGGGGGAGTTTCTGCCCACTGTGTATCTTGAGTGATGAGCAGAGTGGTGGTAGCTAGAGAGGATGCATTTCCAAGGAAAGCTGCAAACAGATCAAACCTGAGCCTTCCAGGAGGACCCTGAAACAGGAGGAGGCAGACTCCCGGCCAGGATTCATTCACATTTGGTCATGCAGAATTCATTGCCTGCAAGGTTCACAGCCGGGGGCACTTGGCACTCATCCCCAGGCATCTGTGTGGGTGACCCCACAAGAGACTTGGCTTCTTGGCCCCGGTGGGCTCCACCCACGGAAGACACAGTCTTTGATGGCCCAGCTCCACCACCTTCCTTAAAAACACTAGACATGGCCCAAACAACTTGTGGTGGTTTTCAAAAAGCAATTATGACTTTAGAAATCAAAGAGGAAAGAAGTAGCCAAGATGAAATGGGAAGGTAGTCTGGTGCCGCGCCCCCCCTCCCTCCACCACACACACACAGGCTGTGTAACCTTGGACATGTCTCTGCACCTCTCTGTGCCTCAGGCTATAGACTGACTGCATGCCCGTGACTGTCCCTAAGGGGCCCTTCTCAGTATAAACTGACAAAGAGTCAATTGTCCTGTGTGTGATTTTTCCCCAAGGAGGGTTTTTCCAAAGACCAAGCCGTGGGCCCTGATGACATTTCTGGCAGAGGAGTTCAGAAGTGATTTGAAAAAAGACCCATGAAGGAGCTGAGGGTAATGGGTCCCCCAGGGTGGCATTCATCTGGAAGTGCAAGTTCCAAGGTCTGGAGTAAAAAGGCAGTTTCGTTACTTTGTGGCCACAATCAAAATGTTAATATCACCAATGAAATTCCTTTATGAAATTCAGCTCAATGGGAGAAAAAAAAATCTTTTTTTCAATGCTGGCCTATTCGGACTGTTATATTATGGAAGGTAGATGGAATAGCAGGAGGGATGGATGCTGCCTGACACCTGAGCAACTGGGCCTTGCCCTGGGTCACATGCTCTAAGAGGTCCTCATTCAGGCCCCTCGGGGCCCAGAATCTGCAAGCCACGGACACAGCCCACTCAGACCTGCACCCCTTCCAGCTTCCAGACTGTGCCCTGAATTCTCAACCCATAAGCTGGAGCCACTTCCAGGGTCTAGGGAGCCTCTTGCCCCAGTTCTTGAGGGTAGACTGTGCCTTTGAGGGTACAGGGAGCTACTGATGCTAGAAGGGGAAGGAGGTATGGACTGAGCCTGGCTGGGCTGCAGGATGGAGAGGGGTGGGAAGGGAAGGGGAGGGGTGGGCTGAGCAGCACACTGTCAGCTCCCTCTGTGCTGCTGAAACTCAGAGAAGTCCCAGAATTCTGAATTCCAGCTTGGCCTTCCAGATCCCTAGGAAGGTGTATTTATTACGATGAGGAGATAGAGAATATTTTTGAACAGTTTGTTCATATGCTATAACTTTAACATTTAGACATACGGGATATGGGCCTCTACCTCACCCCAGGCCCTGCAAGTTTAGAGGCAAAGGCCTGGTTAGGGTGTATTATCCCCTCTCTCTAGTCTTGCCAAAAGACAGTTTAAATCTCAGTCTTGTCACTCACTAGCTTTGTGGAACTAAGCAAGTTGACCCCCCTGAAAATGGGGGGTCTGTAAAATGGGGACAATAACAGTACCCACCTTATGAGGTTGTTGTGAGGGTTAAATGAGATAATGCACGTAGAATCTAGCACTGTACCTGGCACCCTGTGGGCATTGAAGAATAGCAGCTCTTCTCGGCATCAGGCACCTGATGTCCCTGCCGAGTATAACTTGGGATTCCCCCAATCCCCTGTTTTTCCAGACTCCACAGCAGTATGAGAGAGAGTACAACAACAAGCGGTCAGGCGTGGGGCCCAGCAAGTTCCACGGGTACGCCTACGATGGCATCTGGGTCATCGCCAAGACACTGCAGAGGGCCATGGAGACACTGCATGCCAGCAGCCGGCACCAGCGGATCCAGGACTTCAACTACACGGACCACACGCTGGGCAGGATCATCCTCAATGCCATGAACGAGACCAACTTCTTCGGGGTCACGGTCAGTCCCATGCCTCTGGGCTGTTTTCCTTAGTGTTCCTTGTAAACATGCAAAGCAAAAGAGGGGCTGTTACAGGCTTTCTGTTATGTGATCTGTTATCTCTGATCATTGAAATAACTAATTGCAGGCCCTAGGATTGCAGGGCTGTTCAGACAAGGGGCAGGGGCAGTGTGTGCTCTCAGACACATTGGGAAAATGCTTCTCTGTGACTCATGGATAAGAAAGGGCATAGAGCCAGGTACTTGCTGAAGGTAGGCTTTCACTCTGCTACAAAAATGGTTGAAAAGCGTTCTATCCTTTTGGCTATTTACATTTTAGAGCAGTGGCTCTGTGCTCCCTGGCACAGTACCTGGCTTCAAGCTGCTAAACTACCTCCTGTTATGAAGATGTGAAAAGTTTTTTTGTCATTGAATATAAACAATTAGCACACACAGATAGCCTCTTCAATCTCCATGTGAATTTAGGATGAACTATGTATGACATGGTGCTGTAAATTCTTCCTCTTATGGACTAATTTTGGTGACCATCTTTCTGTCTCTGCAGTCTCTTAAGCAGATTGACTATGATGCATGCCACATTCAAGTTTAATTGTGTAATAAAACAGTTTTCTTTCTGTTCTGAAAAAAAGAAAAGAAAAAGAAAGAAAGGGCATAGAGGCCGGGCATGGTGGCTCACGCCTGTAATCCCAACACTTTGGGAGGCTGAGGCGGGTGGATCACCTGAGGTTAGGAGTTCGAGAGCAGCCTGACCAACATGGTGAAACCCTGTCTCTACTAAAAATACAAAATTAGCTGGGCGTGGTGGCACATGCCCGTAATCCCAGCTACTCGGGAGGCTGAGGCAGGAGAATCGCTTGAACCCGGGAAGCAGAGGTTGCAGTGAGCTGAGATCGCGTCATTGCACTCCAGCCTGGGCCACAAGAGCAAAACTCCATCTCAAAAGAAAAAAAAAGGGCATAGAAAGTTGACTGCGCACACAGTGCAGGCACAGTTTACCAGATGGTGGGCTGGGGTGGGCCAGGAGAAGCTCTGGACCCAAAATCAGGTTCAAATCCTGGGCCTTCATTTACAAGTTACCTTCTTTGAACTACAGTTTTCATTCACACAATGGAAATCATACTTACCTTGTAAGCTAGTTTTAAAGATTACACATTACATAATACAACCTTTTAATATTTATTAAGCAAGCTACTTGCTCTGAGCCTCAAGTTTCTCATCCGGGAAATGGGGATAATAATATAAATCTTGCATGGAAGTTGGGAAAATAAGCAATGATAATATGGCTAATACTTCTTGATTGCGTATTATGTGCTAGACATTGTGCTAAATACATAATGTAGTTAGACTCAATAATGTATGCCTAGTGCTAGGCACATAGCAGGCACTCAATAAATTCTATTGTTACTGTTAATAATGATTACACCATATCCTTATGCCATCCATAGGAAGTAGGTGCTCTTATTATTCCCATGAACAGTGAGGAACCTGGAACTCAGAGCATTTAAGTACTATAGCTAATCAGGGTCAAGTGGGATTTGAACTTTGGTCTAGCTCTTAATTGCTGCAGAAGGTAGTGACCTTCTGGTAATGGACCAAAGTGGTAGTTATTTGTCACTGTCTCTGCTCCAGAAAATATGGAAAATTCATCTGAAGAATACGTTGAGTGGGCTAAAGTGCTGTCCTGTGTTCTAATTTACAGATTCAGAATAGAGTCAGTCTGTCTTGAGGAATAAAGGGTAGATAAGCTGAGCTGGCTGGGGCATTTCTTGAATATGCATATTCATGCATGCCTGTGCTGAGGCTTATATTGTTGGTCTGGTGGGCTGGAACCTGTGCAGGTGCCGAAGGTGTGGATAATGGTGTGGATGCCAAGGTAAGATGGGCTCCCTGTCCTAGAGCCTGTGGCTCACATGCACGGGCAAGACCTAGACAAAAACAATGAGAGGTTAAAAGTGCTTGGCACTGTGGGAGAAACTATTTGAGCCCAAGCCCGAGCCCAGAGGGATTTCTGTGACCTTTAGTGAAAAAGTCAGGGTAGGTTTTTTGGAAGGGGTGGCATTTGACCCATGCCTTGAACTGTGGGCAGGAGTTAGACATGAAGACAGGGGCTGGCCAGAGGGAGCATGGTGAGCAAGGAAGAAATGCAAGAGGGAGGGAAGGACAGTTAGTTGGGCTGGAACACTGGCAAGCTGGATAAGGAGGCTGGGAAGGGAAGTTGGGGTCCATTTCTGGAGGGACATGCTAAGGAGACTGGCCTTTATCTTCCAGACCAACCATTCCCAAAGTGTGGTCTGCATCATCTGGGAGCTTGTTAGAGATGCACATTCCCAGGCCCCACATGGGCCCATTAAATCAGAACCTCTCGGGGTGGGGCCCAGCCATCTGTGTTTTAACAAACCCTGCAGGTGGTTCTAATGCACACCAGGGTTTGAGACCACTGCTGGGGGGCAGTGGGGAGGCACTTGGGTGGCACTGAGGTTTGCTCAAATGAAGTCGATTTCCAAAATCCCCAAGCAGAGCCATTCTGGACTAAAGGCTCTGAAAAATTCACTCCCACAATGTATTGGCGAAGTCCATTTCTGTAGCACAGCCTAGATTCAGGCTGGAAACTTTAACAGCTTTCCTCAGACCAGTAGCTTAAAGAATTATTTTTATTCTCAGAACTCCTTGTTATAAAATCTCACATGGAGCCTGGTATATAAAACAGATTAAAGAAGAGCTTCTCAGTTGAACAGAGAAGGAGCCCTGAACTCTGCCTGTTCAGCCCCCTCTTCCTGCAGCCCTCTCCCCACCCCTGCAGCCCCTGAGATCCCTCCCTCAGAAATGCTGGACAGAACACCCATTAGAATACCTCCAAAGTCCTTTCTCCTCATCCTACAAGTTCATGGACTGAGACTCAGAAAGGGGTGGGATTCACCCAGGGTCCCACGGGTAGCATTTTGGCAGGGCTGTTTCAAAATGAATTCAAAGTATCCAAAGTTGAAATGGATGAATAGAGAGCTACAGAATCTAGAAAGCATTTTGCCACCCTTCACAATCCTAGAACTCTGCATTTTGCCTAGGTGCCTGATAGATCTTAGTTGGAGATCATTTATAACCACTTCTAAATGCTCCCTTTCATCTAAGCCAAATAATACATAATCCTTACTTGATGAGCAATTAGATAGACTGCCTGAAATGTTCTCCACGGCTTGAGGATGAGTTTCTTTTTAATGGGAAATTCCTTGGCACCTATTTTTGTCTGCTCCAGCTTGTGACTCAGAACTCAGTGAACATCAGAACTGAAAGTTGTCTTAAATATCCTCAAATTCAATGCTTTTGTGGTGTAGATGAGTGTCTGAGGTCCAGAAAAGGAAAATGACTCCTTCAGAGCCACGCAGCAAGATGGTTTGGCAGAGCTGGAATGGTAGCTGGACAGGCCCTGCCTCCACCCACTCAACACCATCTCCCTTTTCTTTGCATAAGTGCCCCTTTAGTGGAGACAGACCGCAACAGTGAAACAGTCCTGCACTCCATGTTACCTTCCTCCTATCTCCTTTGTCACATATTAATAGGTGCTTGTCACTGGGTTGTAGACAGGTTTCGTTAAAATTGTCTTCTGGTCACAGCAAAAAGGACATCTTCTGACAAAATAAAAAGTGTCTCTGTGGTCCAAGGAGACTACAGAAGGCCAAGTTCAGCTATAAATAAAGAGTTAGAAAGGAAAACAACATGGGAGGTGGAAATAAATGGAAGCATTTTCCATTTGCTGAAGGATTTTCATTATACAGCACACACAGTATCCATTTTTCCACTCTCAGGCAGACATCTTAGTCTGGGTGCCCCCTCATTTAGCATGTTTACTATATGGGAAATCGTTTAAACACATTAAATTAATTATATCCATGACTCAATTTCAATTGATTCAATATGCACACTCTCTGCCGGGAGCTGGGCCAGTGGTCCCGGCTTGGCATATGGATGAAGAAATGTCTTCCATGCATCCTAGGTTGGGAATCCACCTTAACTCAAGGCAAGTTCTGTTTTATCTTCTTAGAAGCTCTGCTCCCAGTGACTCTCCTCAGGGAACACTCTGAAGTGGGATTCCATGTCCCTGTGGCCCTCTGATGACTTGGGGGTGCCGTACATCTCTCTGATGTTCAGCCCTGGGATTGGCCCTCCATGGTTTAGAAGTCTCAGGATGCTTCCCCTCCTCCATCCCCCTCTTCTGTCAATTATGCAACCAGGAAACTCAGGCTAGAATTGGCTATTTAAATCTCAAAAGCCCAGAGCATTCTGAGAATCCCCTTTTCTGAAAATGACAGGGCTTGGAACCCAGCTCAGCAGAGCTCATCATTAGAGCAATGATTCTTAACCTTCTAAAGGCATGAGAATCTTCCAGGGCGCTTCATTTAAAATGCAGGTTCCCTGGCCCCACCCCATAACTTCTGATTCTGTGGTCTTACAGTAAAGCTCAGGAATTCACATATTAAACAGCAGTCTGAGAGATTCTTAAATAGCAACCTGAGAATTGCTTGGGGCCACACACACACGTTTGTGGTTTAAACCTGTCAGCAATGGATTTGCTCCTACATTCATTCACTCCTCTAGCAAGCCCCGCACTGGGTGTATGGAGTATAGAGAGGAATAACATACGGTCCCTGGCCCCAAGAGCCCCTCATTCAATAGCAGTGGGAATGGACAAGTAGAGGAACAATTGCTAGGCAGTATCCAAGGTCTGCCCAAGGCCTCTGGAGGAAAGACGGTTTCGCTTAGGGGAGTAAAGACCAAGGAGCCATCCTAACTTGCTGGATCAATAATTGCAAGGTAGCCACCCTGTGGGGAACCCTCCTGTGCATGTGGTGGGAGCAAGGATGCAATACCAGGCCCCTCTTCCCAACGCTCAACACGTCAGTGTGCTGTGGCTGAACAGACTCCTTTCATTTGGCTTTCCTAATCAAGATGCACTAAATTCATCGTCAGGAGACCATAACCTTTCAGCACATGCTTGGAAACACTGGCTAAGTCTTCAGGTGAAAATCAAAGCCTTAAAGTTCTTCAGGTGATCTTTTTTTTTTTTTTTAAACTCTTTCCAGTTTCCAGTCTCTTAAAACAAGGGTGACCTCCCAGATCTCAAGGTCGACAAATCCTTTGGGTATGTCAGGCTAAGATGATGGCTGTTACCAGCAGTATACCCTGTTTGGTAAATGTATCTTCTGATTTGTCTTTTAAAAGGACAGCACATTGAGATTGTGGTGCCTATGACAGGCTAAATTTACAGAATCAGCTGGGTGCAGTGGCTTCTGCCTGTAATCCTAGTACTTTGGGAGGCTGAGGTGGGTGGATCGCTTGAGCCTAGGAGTTTGTGACCAGCCTGGGCAACATGATGAGACCTTGTCTCTACAAAAAAATACAAAATTTAGCCGGGCATGGTGGCAGGTGCCTGTAGTCTCAGCTACTTGGAAGGCTGAGGTGGGAGGATCACCTGAGCCCAGGAGGTTGCGGCTGATTACGCCTCTGTACTTCAGCCTGAGCAATAGAGTGAGACTCCGTCTCAAAAAAGAAATAAAATAAATTAATAGACTCTCATTTTACCTTATGAGAATTGAACCCATGCTTTTCCAGGAGTTCCTTAGGGCATGTACACTGGGTTTGGATGGGGGCTTTTAGGTGTCAAGAGCATTTGACCATAGGGAAATTGAAAGAGGCTCCTGGGGAATGTCTCGGATTATGAGAAGAGGGCTCCATTCTTGCTAAAGTTTGCTGTGACTGTCCCTCATTCTCGGTGGGTGTACTCTATGTGGGAACGATCACAGTTGGAAAGAGAGTGACCCATTAAGTTCCTCCAAATAATAGAGCCATCCTTCATCCTCTGCCCAGTGTCTCTCAACCAGCAGCGGGTCTGGACATCCTAGTGTAACCTCTGTCAGGACAGGCTGGCACCCTTAGGTTCAGGCATTTCACCTCCGATGGCTGTTATCTTCTAATTGGTCTCACCAAGGTGATGAAGAACAGCAGATGGCGATTTGCAGAGTGTATTGATCCATTTGCTTTTGTTGCTGGTGAAGAGGGATCCAGCCTTAGCCAGTATACCCCTTAAAGTTTCTGCAAGATTTTTAAAAAATTATTTCTACTAAGACTCAAAAAATGCTCCCCCCACCCCCTAGACAAGTCACCACCCCACCACCCACCCTACCAACTTTTTACCTAAAAGGAGGACATCATAGAGTTAAACTCAGTTTGGCTGGAATTCCAAGTACTCTAAGTAAGGTCAAACTAGGTAGCCAGAGAAAACCAACAGGTTCCTCGTTCCAGGGGAATTTGCAATGTTGGCTCAAACCCACCTTTATTTCATCCCCACTGTTGCCTCGCCCTACTGTGATCCTGGAGTTTGTGCACTTGGTTTTTTTAAGTCAAAATATAATTTTACACACACACACACACACACACACACACACACACACATACATACTAGTTACATATCATCTTGTTAGAGTTGTCCCATCTCTCCTGCCTGTTTGATCTTTTGGGGTCCTGGTTTTACTTTCCAATGTAGAGACTAAACTTCAGGCCTCCCACCAGCCAGACATTGGTGTCTTATATTTGATATCATCATTTACTCATAGAAGTCTTTTTTAGGGGCCGGGCGCGGTGGCTCACGCCTGTAATCCCAGCACTTTGGGAGGCCGAGGCGGGTGGATCACGAGGTCAGGAGATCGAGACCATCCCGGCTAAAAAACGGTGAAACCCCATCTCTACTAAAAATACAAAAAATTAGCCGGGCGTAGTGGCGGGCGCCTGTAGTCCCAGCTACTTGGGAGGCTGAGGCAGGAGAATGGCGTGAACCCGGGAGGCGGAGCTTGCAGTGAGCCGAGATTGCGCCACTGCACTCCAGCCTGGGCGACAGAGCGAGACTCCGTCTCAAAAAAAAAAAAAAAAGAAGTCTTTTTTAGGTTGAATCTGGGAAAGAAAAAGACAAGAAACAGGGCACCGGGAACTCCATCCAGAAATAAGGAAAACTCTACCCAGTCAAGATTTGACACCACTTGGGGCTGGTCATTCTTCCAGTTGTGACTCTATCCCCCAGATTATCCTGATTGTGCCTGTTTCTTGACTTTGTGCTCAAGGCTGTCACTGGAGAACTTGTTAGAAGCTCTGAAATAGTCCAAATGTGGTATAACAACTGGGAGCCCTAGAACATGGGGCTTGTTCCAGTGACCCCATGCTAGCGTCCAATGCCACCCCACGGTTTCCTATTCTGAGGTCCCTTTTTCATGTTCCTTTCTTGTCTGCTGCCCGGGAGCAACAGAAAACCCATCCAGAACTTTCTCTGTACCTCATGTGTCCCCAGCACATCCCAGACCCAGGTAGTTCCAGTGAAATTGCATCACACATAAACTTAACATAGGAGCTGATTTGAGACTCTAATCTCTCTCCCTCCATTCTCTGGCTAACCAGCCCACCCTCAAACTCAGATGAAATGTACCATTGCCCAGGACATGGCAGTGATCAACTATAACAAGAATTACAAATTTGAAAGGTCAAGTAAAAACAGGTCACAGTGTATGTATCTCTTAGAGCTGTGTGACCTTGGAGAAGTTACTTACATCTCTGTGCCTCAGTTTCCTCATTTGTAGAGTGGCGGTAAATATTTCTTCTTTCAAAGTGTGGCTGTGGGAAATAATAATGTTTAGTACCTAAGAACTACATCATCATTATTGCTATTATTATTACTACTGCTATTAAAATGGCTACTTTACAAAGAGCAGAGTTTGTGTGGGTCTAATCAAGACCCAGCAAACAATCATTGCATACCTATGAGATACCATTCTGTTTCATATATATAATCTCATTTCACCCTCTCAACAATAAACAAATCTATTAACTTGTAAGAAGGCTGGAGTGGTTTACTATCCACACAGAACCAAGTAAACTCTGCCTCTAAGCAAGAACACTTGAGTTCTCTCCTGTGGCCATTCACTCTAGGGATTTGAAAGTTACCTTAATGTGGAAGGCATCTGCTCTCAGCTCTCCCTCCTCTTCCTCCCTTTTGACTAGCTCAGTGCTCCAGCAGCCCTAAGCATTACCACTCAGCATTACACACAAAAGCTAATTGCAGCAGATGCTGATGGTGTCCCACCCAGATCTCCTGAGCTCAGTTTCAGAGGGCTGCTTAGGTTTGCTTATCCCCCAGCTGCTGCAGGTGCCCCTGCTAATGGCTCACACCTGCTGCCTTCCCTACAGTCCCTACAGGATTGGGCAATTGGTGCCTCCTGCCTGGAGGTGCCTGGGAATTACACCCACACCATCAGCCTGCAGCAATGACCGATGCATTGGTACAACACCCAGTGCAATTTACCCTCCAGGGCTTCCAACCAGAACAGGCTGAGGCTCACCTTCATCTTAAACCACATCTGAGCATGGCCTCTTCCTTTTTCTTCTCTCCCTTACAGGTTTCTTCCGAGAACACGTCGTTAACAAATTACTGACATGTGATTCCCTGTCCTAGGCTTTGTTTCTGGAGGACCCCATCTAAGACACCCATGTGTATTTATGGGAAATTTAAGCATTTTCAAGAGAAAATTTTTACTATAACCTTATAGTTACCATATGTGTAACTTTAGAACCAATGGTCCTCCTTACCTACCCCCACACCCGATTGGAGGGTTCTGGACTCTTCTCCCTCGTCCCTGGTGCATTTTGCATGCACCCCTGCCAGTTGCAGTAGCCTGTAGGAGAGCCATATTCGTCTCCTCCAGCGAATTACTATCTCCCAGATTTGCAGGGACCACAGCCCTTCCTTTCTCTGATCCCCTCGTACTTCACCTGGCCCTTTATGCCTGGTAGAAGCTCAATAATTCCTGATAACCTCTAGTGAATGTTGTTGGATTAAATTCACAAATGATTGAGAAATTCAATCACACTTTTCTACTCTGTTGCCTTCCAGGCATCTATAAACTAAAAAGACTTTTTCAACCCGATAAATAATCAGAACTGACAACAGAAGTATTAACAGGACTTAGATTTCTTGAATCTGCTAATAGTGATTACCAAATTCTTGCTGTGATACCTGGTAGCGGTAATTCACACAAGGTCACGTGCGTGTGTGTGTGTGTGTGTGTGCGCGCGCGCGCATGTGCATATGCATGTGCACGTGCACGCATGCGTTGGAGGAATCCCTTCCTGAGGCAGCATAAAAACTCATCCCTTACTCCCCTCTCAATCTCTCGTTTCTCCCATAAGCAACTCTCTGGGGCTCAAATCCCAGGGCTTGAGCAGCAGAAGCAATTGCTGATGGGCCCTCTGTGACTTCAGATTGTCAGAAACATTTTCGAGAGGTAATTGCTAGTAATAAACAACAACTATAATAATAATAATCCTTGCTGTGTGACTGCCCTGTTTACAGAGTGCATTTATAGTCTCTCCCATCTTCCTTCCTTAATGCAATTACATTTATTCACTCATGCTAATAATAGTTATCAATTAACGAGCTCCTACTGTATCCCAGGAAGCATTCTAAGCACTTTTCCCTTATTATTGAATATGGTGGGGACGTACAATTCCCAGTTCCTGGTACACTCCTCCAGTGAGCTGCATCTGGCTTGCTCACCTATGTCAGGTCTCTCCCCTCCTCTCTCCTTCCCAGTGAGACCTAACCTGACACCCTACTTTAAATTGCAACTCCCTCCCCATCCACCCAGCCCCCCTCTACTCATCCTTCTCCACAACATCTAGCCCCATCTGACATACTACATATTTTACTTATTTATTGTCTGTTTTATTTTCTGCTTTATCTCTAAGGCTTAGAACTGGGTGCCTGGGACATAGTAGGTGCCTGATAAATATTTGTTTAATGAACAGATGATTTAAATAATTAATGACATGTCATAGATTAAAGAAACAGGCTCAGCAAAGTTCAATGATTTACTCAGGATCCTTCAGGTAGTAAGTGAGAGTTTATGCAAGGCTACCAAGTCTGACTGACTCAAAGTCCATATTCTTAAGCATTTAGGTATCCAATTAATTCAACCAGCATTCATTGCACCTCCAGTAAGCCAGACCAGGGCCAGGTAGGAGTAGTAAGATGTAAGGTTTTGCCCCCAAGGGGCTCACAATGGGAACAACCAGGTGAGATGCATCAGAGAGAGAGCAGGTACTACCATCCCCATATTAATAGTGAAGGATGTAACGGTTCCCCTCTACACTGGATTATTTGTGTGTCTATCTGCCTCCTCCTGCTGGACTCTGAGCCCCTTGACAGTGGGGCCTGTAATTCTCTCTGTACCCCTGGTGTCTACAAGACCCAGCACTTAGTCCATGAAATATATTTGCTGATTGAATGAATTACAAAATTATAGCTCAGAAAGGCAAAGTGGCTATGTTGGGGTCCCACAGTGCATAACTGGTGAACCTGGTTCAGAATTACATTCTAGGTCTTCTGATCTAAATGCAAGTGTCTCCAAATCTTGTGCTGTTAGGCGTTGCTTGGCTGCCCTTCCCCCTTTAATTTAAATACAATTACAAATGACTGCAGACAATGTACAGCACAGGAAAGAAACCTACTCCTTCTGCTGTCAGATAAATTTGAAAGATCAAAATAATGTGGTTTAGCAATTTGTTTGAATTGATGCCTAACCTTCCAAAGCTTGCAAGTTTGACTTCATCAAGTCAGGGAAAAAATAGCTATTTCCTTAAGAAAAGCAGTGTGGGGGAGTGTATCAGCTTATGAGAGCTTCAACAGAAGGTGCAGGCTCTGTCTTTATCCCTGGGAGAAACAAAGAGGAGGCTCCTTGGAAGGAGCCAGGGACATGGTGGTCACAGCAAATTACCATAATGACAGATGTCATGATAATAGGAATGATGAACAGTTTTGAATGCCTACTATATGCTGAGCACTATGCCAAGCTCCTAGATGTATTATTTCACTTAATCCTCACATTCACCTGTTATGGATTGAATTGTGCCCCCCTAAAAAATCCATCTGCTGAACTGCAACCCACAGTAGCTCAGAATGTGACCTTATTTGGAAATAGGGTTGTTACAGATGTGATTAGTTAAGATGAGGTCGTACTGAAGTAAGGTAATCCAATATAACCAGTGTTTCTATAAAAAGGGGAGATTTGAAGACAGCCAGGCACACAGGGAGAATGCCATGTGATGATGAAGCAGAGATACGGATGAGGTTTCTATATCATCAGCAGTGTCAGTGATTGCCAGCCAACCACCAGAAGGTGACTGATCCTCCTTCACAGCCCTCAGAAGGAAGTGGCCTTGCCAACAACTTGATCTCAGACTTCTAGCCTCCACAACTGAGATAACAAATTCCCATTGTTTAAGCCACCCAGTGTGTGGTACTTTGTGATGATGGCCCAAGCAAACTGACACATCCCCAAAAAGTGGAGACTGCTATTTATTGTCACTGTTTTGCAGCTAAGAGGTTAAGGAGGTAGAGGATTAAGTAATTTAACCCTCTCATTCAACCTAAGAGGTTAAAAAATTTACCCAAGGTGACAGAGCTAGTGAGTAGAGAAGCTGGGATTTGAACATAAGCCATCTAACTTTCGACCCTCACTTTTAACCATTATCCTACACCTATAAAAGCTCTCCTCCATTAGGGGGCAAAAGAATCTAGCCCGAGAAGGACAATGTGGAAATAAACCAATGAGATCAGCACTTCCCACCACCCCAGTTTCCAGGGGGAGCTCTGTGGCTCTCCCTAACCTGCTGAGTAAGAGGCAAGGCTGAAGCCAGGCCCCAGCCCCTTGGTTCTGGGCCAGCCTCACTGAAAGCTCTGGCCACAGCACTGGAAGAGACTCTTTATATTGTACCCACCTTTCCCCTGATCGGGAGGAGGGAGGGCATTTTATAACCTCACCTGCCCTGTTCTAACTTATTCATGTGTTTCAAAATAACATATATTAATACATATTTATTTTGGATTATAAAAATTATCCATGTCCCTTGTAGAAAATGTGAAAAGTACAGGCACGCACCAAAGAGAAATCAGTCTCCTGAAACCTCATCATTCAGACAGACTCATGGGACACTTCACATTCAGATGTGATCCTTTTTATTTTAATTTCTTTATCATTTATTTTGGTCCCTCACATTATAAAACTTTTTCCATGGCAGTGGTTCTCAATCTTCTTAACCCTATCGTTTTTTAAATTGTGATAAAATATGTATAAAATAATGTTTACTGTTTTAGTCATTTTTAAGTGTACAAATTCAATGGCATTAAGCACATTGACCATGTTATACAAGCATCACCACTATTTATCTCCAGAACTTTCTCATCATCCTAAACTGAAACTGCATACCCATTAAATAACTCCCAGCTGGGCGCAGTGGCTCATGCCTGTAATCCCAGCACTTTGGGAGGCCAAGGCAGGTGGATAACCTGAGGTTGGGAGTTCTAGACCAGCCTAGCCAACAGGTGAAACCCTGTCTCTACTAAAAATACAAAAATTAGCTGGTTGTGATGGCACACACCTGTAATCC
The DNA here is from genome assembly GCF_000001405.40 of Homo sapiens. Taxonomy (NCBI): domain Eukaryota; kingdom Metazoa; phylum Chordata; class Mammalia; order Primates; family Hominidae; genus Homo; species Homo sapiens. The sequence continues at coordinate 98,441,501 of NC_000009.12, read as the reverse complement.
CAGCTACTTGAGAGGCTGAGGTGGAAGAATTGCTTGAACCCAGGAGGTGGAGGTTGCAGTGAGCTGAGATCATGCCACTGCACTCCAGCCTGGGCAACAGAGTGAGACTCTGTCTCAAAAAATAATAAATAATAATAATAATAATAACTTCCTTCAGAGGAGTTTTTATTAAATGGGTTATTTATTATGGGAGAGCTTATTTTATTTAGCTATTATTTATTATGATAGAGCAATTTTATTTAGCTGTACATTTATTTTTTAAGTATTTTTAAAGATATCATAGGTAGTTTGCTAATTTTAGAGGGAAATAATGGTATTTGCAAGCTACCGCTAACCAAATAGTTATTAGCCCAGCAAAAGTCTGGTTGCTTTTACATACAGAAACCTAAGAATGTGCATTTTTACATGTTGAAAATATAAATAGCAAATATTTTAAAGTAAATAGTACAATTAAACATTAGTGGTAGCCCCACTATTGAGGAAAATACTCAGAGATATATCCAGATCCTATATGAAAAACGAATCTGAAGATTACGTGCATTTCTCTTGGTGTGAGACCAGAATCTCCCTCTCTGTGTGTGTGTCAAGGTATGTTAGCCCAGGAGCTTGCTAAGCAGGAAGGAAGTTTTCTAAAATCAGGAGAAGACAGCTGACATAAATTTTAGCCGACAGGATGGCATGGCTGTGGGCCCTGATGGACACTGGCTCCGCCTGTGTGTGCTCATGCAGAGGTTACTCACACACACTCGATGTGACACTCTGTGCTCACGTGGATGAGAACCAGACCTGCGTGATGGAGAGAAGGACACTTGGAAGTGTCCACTTTCTCATGAAATTTCATGCCACTTTCTCATGAAATTCTAACCACCACTGCCACCTCCTTCTTCTTTCTCAATGGGATTCAGGCTTCCTAGAATTACTGCCTAAACCAGTAATTTTAAAGTAAAGACCTGGAGTCTGGTTGGGGCATTGTAAATTGTAGAAGGGGGGAAGTGGGGGACTATAAGGGACTGGAAGGGGGTGTCCACCTTTGTCTTCCTAAGAGGTATGAAATGGTTAAGAGTGTGGAACCTGGAGACAGAATTCCTAGGTTCTCATCTTGGCTCCACTTGCTAGCCAGGTAAACTTGAGCAAGGAATCAATCTCTCTTCATCTCAGTTTCTTATCTGTAAAACATAGATAGTGCCTTAGATCAAGCTCCTTGTAAATAGAGATGGGACATCTTTGCAGAAGGTTTGTCAGAGAGCATGCTCTGGATACACCTGTAGGGAAGTGAAGGGGACAGAACAAGAGCAAGAAGCTGATGGCAGTGTGGCTGCAACTGAGGCTCCAGCTGATTCTGGTAGCTCTGGAGCTGTGATGGAGCAGAGGCTGGGCCCAGGTGTCCTCTTATCAGCTAGTCACTGGCCCTAGGAGCAGGTGTATCCTTAGCCAAGGCAGTTCCTCATGGTGGAGGGTAATTCGCAGTAAGGAAGTAGGCTGGGACCTTCAGTAGCCAATATTCTCAGGAGCTGGGGAATGATGGTGCTTTGGCCCTAAAGAGGCCAAAATACTGGGCAAGCCCCCCAGTTACCCCTATAGATAACAACGGGGCCTACCTTAAAGGGCTGTGAGGATTAAAGAGGTTTATACATGTTGAGTGCCTGGGACACAGTATGTGCTGAATTAGTGCAAGGATGACAAGGAAGAATGTATTTGGATACCAACTTCACAGTCTTCTAGACCCTCAAACACCTATAATTAATTTTCCATGGGATTCTGTGGTTGGTGGGTCCCCAACCAGCTGCTTCAGTTGGATTCTTGCAGCTCTTGCCATCTTTGGTAATTCACATTCTGACATTCATATGCACGCAAACACACTCACATGCATGCATGCACACACACATCCCTAAATATGTGGTCTATGGGTATTCATATTCATCATGTATACAGCTATGTATCAACGTATTCCAGGAGTTTTCAAACTTGTTTTTCAAAGGAGATTTTACCTAGAAGCCCGATATTAGTGTCCTTCATTTAACATTTATGTTAGTATTAACATTGCCTTTAATATTACATTTTCTTTTTCCAATTTGCTCTTTGGAAGACTTTGCTGACTGTCCCTTTGGATTTAAAAATTAGTAAGCAAATTTCTGCAGTAACAAAGAAGAAGCAAAGCCTTCATGGGGAACCTGGGTCTGAGCTGTCAGGTCATCTCACAGGAGGCAGGCCCTGGAGGACAGCCTGGCAGCAATGGCAGCTTTTCCAATAGAGCAACAGGTGCCCAAGAAGGAACCACGGTAGCTGGTATCCAGACCCACACTCTTTATTTTAATGTTGCATGTTTATTTGAATGTGCACTGTAAAAATATAACCAGCATTTAAGGTAGCGAGATAAGCACTCTTTTTTCAGTTTTTTTTTTAAGGCAGATATTTAGTAAAGGAAAGCACAGATGGCGGGTAGATATTGTGAAAACCATGAGGGTGGCACACGTATGACAAGGTTTGGGAAACAGTGACCTCCTTATTGCTTTATCTTTATGTTAAGTCACTGTGGTCATCCCCTTAAAAGCTTAAGAAATGAATCAGAAGAGAGTGGGAAAGAGAATGAGAAAGAGAGAGAGAGAGAAGGGAGAGGGATCCACCAGCAGCAGCAGCACATTGATTTTCTTGGCCAGCTTGTGTAGTTACCAAAGCAGCAAACAGTACTGTGCTTTTTACGCATGAGGTTTTTGTGGTAGGGTTAATAGCCTTTTTGTTTAATGCCCTTTCACCTCATTCCCATGTTTTCAGTAATAAAAAATGGTGGCAGGCCAGGGAGTGGGTGTCCACTGAACAGAGCAGAGTCAAACTACTCTTAGAAACATGGCCCTCAGACCCCAGCAGCACAATGTAGAAATCCTTGAATTCACCCTCTTTTGCAATAATTTTGATTCCAGTTAATTCATTCGCTTGCATGAATTAACTTCTACTACCAACTCCTTGAGGGTAGGGTCTTTCTGAGATTTATCTCTGTTTTCAGTTTCTAGCACATGGCCTGGACTATAATTGAAGTTAGTGAACAGATACATCAGAGAGACTTTTATCATCCCTGTCCCCTACTTCTTGAATGTCTCCTCAGGGTTTTACACATAATAGATACACAGGAAGGCTGGTTGAATGTATGGGCAGATGGGTAGAGTGGTGGAGACATGGGTTGGGGGATGGGTGGAGGGGTGGGAATGTGAGTAGATAGTTGGATGGCTGAGTGGAAGGAGTGAATGGCGAATGAGTGATGAATATGTGGGTAGGTGTATAGATATAGATGGATGGATGGATGGATGGATGGATGGATGGATGGATGGATGGATAGGTAGATGGATATAGATGGAGGGATAACGTGTGGGTAGGTAAATATGGATGGATAAATGGGTGGATGGATGGATGGATGGATGGATAGATGTGTGGACAGGTGGATGGATACAGATGGGTGGATGGATGAATGGATACGTGGGTAGGTGGATAGATGTGGATGGATGGTTGGATAAATGAATGAGTATGTGGGTAGATGGATGCATGGGTGAATGAATGAATGGATGAGCATTTAGGTAGATGGATGGATGGGTATGTGGGTGGTGGGTAGGTGGATGGATGGATAGGTGCATAGATAGATGGACGGATGGATGGATAGATGTGTGGACAGCGGATGGATACAGATGGGTGGATGGATGGACGTGTGGGTAGGTCAATAGCTATAGGTGCATGGATGGATAAATGGATGAGTATGTAGGTGGATGGATGGATGGATGGATATATGGGTGGATGGGTGGGTGGATGGATGGATGGATAGTTATGTGAATAGATATATGCACAGATGGATGTGTGGGTAGATGGATGGATTAACAGGAAGATGGCAGGTGGGCAGATAAGAGGACAGACATAGATGAATGAGTGGATGAGTTTGTGGGTGGATGGATGGATGAAAGGATAGATGTGTAGATAGGTGGATGGATATAGAGGAGTGGATGTGTGTATGGATGTGTGGGTAGGTGGATGGATATAGATGAATGGATGGATAGATGGATGATTATGTGAGTAGATTGATGGACAGGTGGGTGGGTGGATGGATGGAGGGATGGATGGATAGACGGTGGTTGTATTGATAGATGATAGCAGGTGGATAGCTAGGCAGGTTTGTGGACAGGCATAGATGAATGGGTGGATGAGTTTGTGGGTGGAAGGGTGGGTAACTGAGCTAGTGAGTATGTGAACACTAGGCCTAGGAGAGGTAATTTCAGTTCATGTGTCTGCTGCATTTTAATCAAAGCACGTTTCTCTAGAAGGATCTTCAGAGGCAATGGCCCTGATATTTTGACTCCTTTTCTGTACAGGTCCTGACCTCTACAAAGTGTTTGCCACATTTTCTGATGTGAGGTCTCATCTTGTCATCTGACTCACGGAAATACATGTTTTATCTGATGCCTTTATTCCTCACTCACACTTCACCCTTTCAGTGTGAAAGGGCCTCATTAAAATCTGTCCTCTACCCAGTTACTCTTTGAGAAAGTTCCTTCTTAGGGCATTTCTGCTGTGAAATGTATCACACCGACCCATGTGAGTGCCAACCTGAATGCTAAAGACTGTTATTAGCAGATTTAGCCTAGAGATGTTTCAGAGTTGTCAGTTCTGATGTTCATAGGATTATATTTTCAAACATCATCACACATCCTCTGTGACAGACTTGATTACTGTGATGAACTAGTTTTCTTCTTTTGAGAAACGTTCCAGTTGCAAAAATGATTCTGAAAGTATTTAAGCAAAATTCTAGGCAAGAGTGAAGTGATGCTGTTTCTTTTGGGCAGCTCATTTAGCTTGCTGGGGGAGGCAGCTTGGTGTAATAGGAGGAGCACGGGGCATGGAGCCTGCAGATCAAGGTTGCATGCTGTCCCCAGTGTCTTAGCAGCTGGTGACCTCCGCAAGTCTCTAATCTTTGTGTTATCTTCTGCAAAGTGAAAATAATGACCAGGGACCCCTCACTGGGTTGCTCTGAAGATGAAGCAAGGAAGGTGCACAACGAACTGTAAAGTGTTGTGGATGATTGAAGGATCTGTGGTAGTAGAAGAAAGAACGCCATACTATATATATATATATATATATATATATATATATATATATATATATATATATATATATATGGTGTGTGTGTGTGTGTATATATATATATATGGTATATTTATGGGTATATATATATATATATATATATGGTTGTTGTTGTTTAAATAACAGAAGAAATCAGATATTGACAGTGAAGAAATTAACTATATGTCCTAGGGCTAATAAAACACTCTTTCTGGGCCATGGAAGGTTTATCATCAGTGATGGGACCACAGGTAAAAACTTGGTACAACCACAGAGACATGACTGTTTCCCTTTGTTCATTCATTTATTCTACAGACATTTACAACCACCTATAGTATGAGGAGGATAGGGGTGGCGGCTGCTGGGGGTACAACTGTGAGCAGGGCAGATGTGATCCCTGTACCCAGGAGGAAACAGATGAAAACTGATAATCATCCGAATAACCATTTAAATATAAATGGTGAAAAGTGCTTTGAAAGAAAGTTACAGGGGTGCCCATAACGTGGAGACCTGAAGATGAAATAAGGAAGGTGCATAACAAACTCTAAAGTGTTGTGGATGAGTGACAGACTGGGGATCAGTAAAGGCTTCCCTGAGAAGGTGACTTTGAGTTGAGATTGAAGAACAAATAGGAGCTAACTAGGCAAAGTGGGTGGAAGAGCATTTCTGGAAAAGGGAAGAGCAGGTGCAAAGGCCCTGGGGTTAGAGAAAGTGTGGCACCTTTGAGAAAGCCAGTGTGGCTGGAATAAAGTGGGATGAGCCTGGAGTGGTGGGTGGAGGCCATGTTATACTAAGACCAGTGGAAAAGTGTCTAGCAAGGGAGCAACCTGACTGCTGTTTTTAAGAAGCTCCCTCTGGCTGTGGTGGGGAGAGCAGGTCAGAGCAAAGCAACAGCACCTGCAGGGATGCTGGTATCAGCCATCTCAGTGATATTGGGTATAGAGAGGAGTGGATGGATTCAAGGCACACTTCAGGAAGAAAACTGATAGGGCTTGGTGTTTTACCAGTTACGACAGAAGAGAGGGGATGATGGAGGGTGTGCTCCTAATGCAATTACTTTCCATTTTGAACTGAATGGTTCTGAAGTTATATATACTGTGAGCATTACTATAGTAAATTAAAGAAATACATCAATAGATTCTACAGTATTTTGCATACTTTAAGCATCTGGATAATCTGAAAATTTACTTGGCAGCCCAGAGAAAATGGAATGGTGCAGCTCTTTGGCCTGATCCCACAGGAAAACATTCCACTCATGCAGAAGCAAAGATCAGGTCCAGAAGGATGTTTGGCAAATGCGCATTAAAAACTGAGAATATGGAGTGTGCAGAAGAGCTTTGCTCTGAGCCTGGCCCTTTAGGCTTTCATGATCTATGGAGGCAAACATGATACCAATGGGCAGAACCCACTCCAGCCTAGGTCTACACATGAGGTTACACCAACATTAAGAAAACCTCCTTGTGTGCTGCCCCTACCTACAGAACAGTGTGACCTCAAGACCCACTCCCCACAATTCCCCTAGTCTTTCCTGTGTCCCTGGAGGCATCTCAGGGTCCTCACAAACTGTCCTTGTTTGGCCTGGTGGCACAGCCTCCTTGGTGACTCTCCATGCCCGCAGCCACTTGTGGAGGCTGTCACCATCTTATTGCCAGATCTTTGTTCCCCAGTGCCCCAAAATGCATGGGGCTTATACAGGGCTGCGGTGACCTCAGTCTTCAGTAGGGAAGAAGGCTGTTCTGACACTTGCTGTATCACACTTGGTCAACTGGGCCCAGTGGTGTGTTGGAATTGGTGTATATCAGCTGCTGAGAGCCGATTGTGCACATCTCTTCCCAACTTCTTATTCTATGAGGTTACGTTAGTAGCTTGAATAGGCCATGATGGGAGTATTTATGCCATGGTAATGGGTAAACGCTACAAATCAGAGCTTCCTTCTTCTCCCCTTCAGAGACCCTGTTGTTGAACATTTACCAGCACACCACTGACTGGCCCAGAGCTCAGCTGCTTGTGCCCTGAGCCCCACCATGTTCCCTGTTGTATTAGGGTTCACTAGAGAGACAGAACTAATAGGATAGATGTCTATATAAAGGTGAGTTTATTAAGAAGTATTGACTCATATGATCAAAAGGTGAGGTCCCACAATAGGCCATCTGCAAGCTGAGGAGCAAGGAAGCCAGTCCAAGTCCCAAAGCTGAAGAGCTTGGAGTCCAATGTTCAAGGGCAGGAAGTATCCAGCATGGGAGAAAGATGTAGGCTGAGAAGCTAAGCCAGTCTAGGCTTTTCACGTTCTTCTGCCTGCTTTTATTCTGGCTGCATTGGCAGCTGATTAGATTGTGCCCACTCAGATTGAGGGTGGACCCACCTTTCCCAGCCCTCAGTCCCAGACTCAGATGTTAATCTCCTTTGGTAACACCCTCACAGACACACCCAGGAACAATACTTCATTGGATTGAAGGATTGTATCCTTCAATCCAATCAAGTTGACATTCAATATTAACCATCCCACCTGTGAACATTGTCCCTCTGTCTTCCACCTAGCCACTCTCTCCATAAGGTTCAGCCCTGGTCCCTGAGATCAGGACCACATTGTCTTCTGAGCCCCCACCTTCCACAGAAACATGCCCAGGTATCAATACATTAAACATCTCTTTGTCTGGGGGCTGTGGCCCCAGGAATCATCAGACAGAAATGAATCAGGCAGGGAAGGAAAGAAAGGTTGAAGTAGACATCAAAGAGGCCTTGAACATGTCCTGTCCCACATGGACCTCAGTTTTCTGGGCCTAGAGGACATGATGTCCCAGTCTTCTTTCTCCTCAATGCCCCAAGCTTGAGGGAATAGTATGTAACTTAATCTTGAATATGTAGAAAAAAACATATAGGATATTGCCTAACATAAGGTAGAGGCTAGCTTGAAAAAGTCTTGAGGTTCAAGGCCTTAGTGTACAGTTAATTACTTTCATGATTCATCACCTGCAGACTGTGACTCTAGTATATCCTTAGTGTAAATGTATGAAGGCAGTAATTTTGTACATGTGTATGTATGTGTACATGTCTTTACATACATGTATATACTTACAGACCCATGGCATATAATAAAACAGTGACCTAGATTCTCTCTCAAGCATGCAGGATCTTTATAAGCCATACGTAGTGACAGTTTAATCCACATAATCACTGTCAATTCCCCTTCACTAATTTGGCAGAGTCCCTGCGGCATATGCAGCTCTGCAATGCTTTACACAGCGTACACAAAATTCCCTGTTCATCCTCCAATCTAGTAATTCCATCAACTAGCTTATGAAGAGCTGCTTCAGTAATTCATGTTTAATGACCTTAGCTGCTGGACAGATGTCTTGAGAATTAAAGTCTCCTGTGAACAGAGTATCCTGAGCTTCTAAACTCCAGTGTAATGGAAACACGTCCCATTTCTCCCACACACCCCCAAAGTGATGGGATTTGGAGCAGACATCCAGCCTGGGGTCCTCTCCTCGGGCTCACACTGCCCACTCTAGCCTTTATGAGTGGTGGTGACCAGACTGGAGGCCATGGGATTTATCTGACATGTCCTGGGTTGGACAGTCAGTGGGCCTCACGTGGGGCTGAGTTCTGTGCCTCAATTCATCTGTAGGATAGAGGAGATGGTGCCTGGCATGGTCAAAGAGACCCTCAGAGTGCTCAGGACTCGGGACTCCAAAATAATGGAAAAGAAAAGGTTTATGATGAGAACCAACATTTACTAAGCTCCTGAAGTACTAAATTTCCTCGGAACAAGCCCTGTGAGGGAGACACGATTAGGACCATCTTATAGAAGAGGAAACTGAAGATCAATGGGTTGTGTAGCTTGTCAAATTCATGCAGGTGGGAAATGCCAGGATCCTGGTTTGTGTGCTGGGGTCAGCCACCTCTAATGCTCTGTTTGTTTTATACCCCTCTTCCACCTTCCCACCCACCTCAGTGGGATTTTTAGAACCAAAGTTTGCACTGTCATGCCAGCCGTGTTTCTACAGAGAGATATATACAGCGATCATCTTCAACTCCTCCCTTCCATCTGCCAAGCCCTGCTGACTCCACCCCCGTGAAATCCCAACCACCACCCCTTTTTCTCTGTCCCCTCTGCCGCTCATTCATTCTGGCTCATTCTCACACTCACCATATTAGCCTTCCTAAATAATCTCTGGCCATGGTACTCCTTATTAAAAACCTTCCTTGAGCCGGGTGCAGTGACTCACGCCTATAATCCTAGCACTTTGGGAGGCCAAGGCAGTGGATCACTTTGAGATCAGGAGTTCAAAACTAGCCTGGCCAACATGGTGAAACCCTGTCTCTACTAAAAATACAAAAATTAGCTGGGCGTGGTAGCACATGCCTGTAGTCCCAGCTACTTGGGAGGCTGAGGCACAAGAATCACTTGAACCCAGGAGGCAGAGGTTGCAGTGAGCCGAGATCACACCACTACACACCAGCCTGGGCAGCAGAACGAGACTCCATCTCAAAAAATAGTGATAATAAAATAAAAATAGTGATAATAAAATAAATACAAAATTAGCTGGGCATGGTGGCAGGTGCCTGTAATCCCAGCTACTTGGGAGGCTGAGGCAGGAGAATTGCTTGAACCTGGGAGGTGGAGGTTGCAGTGAGATGAGATTGCACCACTGCATTTCAGCCTGGGTGATAGAGTGAGACTCTATCAAAAAAACAAAACAAAACAAAACAAAAAAAAACAGACAAAACCTTCCATGGCTCCCCACTGCCTGTAGGATATAGCCTGGCATTTTAGGAACTCCACCACCAGGCCATACTTGTGTTTCCAGCTATTTCTCTGAATTCTGCTCTTACCCAGGAGGCATACTAGCTACTCTCCCACACATGCATCAGAATTTCCAAACTTCATAACTGTGCTTATGTGGGTTTTTTTTTCTATCACCTTTTCCATCATTTATTTATTCAACGAATAATTTTTGAGAACTTACTATGTGCCAAGTACTGCCCTAGGAGCTAGGAATACAGCTGTGAACAAAACCAAAATGAATCCCTTTCTTCAGAGAGTTTACAGTCTAGTGCCAGGAGCAAACAATCAGTTCTTGCCATATTAAATGAGAAAAGTATACAGGTTGTCAGAAGACAATGGTTGCTATTCCAAAAGAAAGAAAGAAAGATGTGTAGGAGGATGAGGAGGATTGGAAATGCTACCAGTGGATGGCGAGAAGAGAGTTTTAAACAGGCTGGCCAGAGAAGGCCACATTGGGAAGGTAACATTTGAGAAAAGCATTGAAGGAGGTGAGGGAATGAGTTGTGCAAGCGAGTAGGTAAGAGTGAGCCAAGCAGATAAGCAGCCAGCCAAAGTCCAGGTGAGAGTATCTGGAGTTCTGGAGTTGGGGGCTTCCACTTCCCACTTCCAACCAAGATGGAGGAGTAATAGGGACCAGATTTACCCTCCTGCTGTAAACAAGTTAAAGAAAAAAAAAAAACAGTCCAAATACTATGTGAAATGACAGTTTTCAGACATGGGCTACAAGCAGCAGAGGACAGTGACCCCTGAGAGGAGGAGCACAAAGGAAGTGAATCTTACAATCGCCCAGATGACCATCTGGAGGGTTTCCAGCACAGGAAGGGGGAACCCAAACAGAGCCTGGCAGTCTTGCTGAGTTGCAGAGACAGAGATGAGAATTCAGAGACAAAGGAGGCAGAAGTTTGCAGGCAGAGCACTGGAGAAGAGAGAGCTGCATGGAGAGGGAGAACTATGCAGGTCTGCTCACACCCTCAGCTGAGTACTTACTGGCACATGTACAGAGGAAAGCACTTGAGACCAGGGAAAGAACCAGCAGAAAGGAAAAGACAGGCAGAAGGATCCTCAGAGCTCAGGCAGGCCTGGGAATAGTTCATGTTCCCACCACGTTGGGTGGGAAAAAGTTTAATAAATCACAAGGAGAATACTCAGAAGGGGGTCATCTCAGGAGTGGGGTGAAATGAACCCTAGACTAAAGGCAGCTCTGGTCCCACCTAAAAAAGCTTAAAAGCAAGACTCGAAAGGGTCAAACTCCTTCCAAGTAACTTAATTATGTCCCAGACAGAACTTAAGAATATTTCAAGGAACTTTTTTTTTTTTTTTTTTTTTTGAGACGGAGTCTCGCTCTGTCGCCAGGCTGGAGTACAGTGGCATGATCTTGGCTCACTGCAATCTCCACCTCCCGGGTTCAAGCGATTCCCCTGCCTCAGCCTCCTAAGTAGCTGGGACTACAGATGTGCACCACCAAGCCCGGCTAATTTTTTTATTTTTATTTTAGTAGAGACAGGGTTTCACCATGTTGGCCAGGATGGTGTTGATCTCCTGACCTTGTGATCCACCCGCCTCGGCCTCCCAAAGGGCTGGGATTACAGGCATGAGCCACCACGCCCAGCCTCAAGGAGTATTTTTAAAAGCTAACACCCAATGAAGGGTCTGACATCCAGTGAAAAATTACCAGGCAGGCAAAGAAGTTGGAGTGTGTGGGCATGACAAGGAAGCCAGTGTGGCTGGAATGGTATCAGCAAGGGGGAGGGAAGTTGGAGACAATGTCAGAGAAATCTAGATTGCATCATCCCAGTAAGCTACTTAAAAGGACTGTGGCCAACTCAGAAGTCAAGAGAAGACATCTGTTTTCTCGCCTCCCCTTCCAGACTGAAAAGCTCCCCTGCTTTGTTCTGAAGTCCCTGGGAAGACACTGAGTGAATGGCTTGTCCTCAACAAGCTTTGGTCCTGTCTTCCTGTAATCCACTGCCTGCAAGATGTGTGACCTTGGAAAATCTTCCTAACCACCATGCCTTGTTTGCTTGTTTGACTAAAATTAATCATAGTGTATCGCCTACTTCTAAGGAGAGTTTGAAGCAGTTCTCAATAAAAGGCATGTACGTAGCGAGGTCACTGACATAGAAGTCAGAAATCTAAAACCATAAAATGTGATGACAAAAATATATACCAAAATCCGGCCAGGCGTGGTGGCTCATGCCTGTAATCCCAGCACTTTGGGAGGCTGAGGTGGGCGGATCACTTGAGGTCAGGAGTCCAAGACCAGCCTGGCCAGCATGGTGAAACCCGGTCCTCTACTAAAAATACAACAATTGGCTGGGCATGGTGGTGCATGCCTGTGATCCCAGCTACTCAAGAGGCTAATGCAGGAGGATCGCTTGAACTCGGGAGGTGGAGGTTGCAGTGAGCCGAGATTGCACCACTGCACTCCAGCCTGGGCAGCGGAGCAACACTTTGTCTCAAACACACACACACACACACACACACACACACACACCAAAAACCTGGGTGAGTTTTTAATTTAATCATGAAATAAAATGAACTGGTTGCCATGTGATAAAGCGAAATGAACCTCAGTCTCTTCCTCTGTAAAATGAAATCAATGGTCTTTGCCAACCTACCCAGAAAGCTGCCTCAAGGATCACCAAAGATGTGGATGAGAATGTATCATTCAGGACTCTTTTGGTGCAAGTGATAGGAAACTGTACTTAAGCAAAGGAGCAGTAAAGTCTAGGATGAGGTTTCTCCAGCTCTCCATCTCTGGGTCTGCTTTCTCCTGGGCCAGGTCCATTCTAGGCCTATGCACAGTTGCTTCTGCTTTTCATCATGTCAGCACCAAGTCCAGCAAAAAAGGGAACCCATTTTCCTTATAGCACCAGCAAAATCCCTGCTAGTCCCGTTAGTTTTGATTGGCTGGCTGACTTGGGTCATGTGCCCATTTCTGAACCAATCACATAGCTAGAATAGTCTGTATTGATTGGCTTAGTTCCAGTCATGTGATCCATCCCTGCATAGAGCCATCTTCACAGAACTTCAAGGCTGAGCATGGGGCCAAGTGGGTCTCTCTGTGTTGTCTCTCTACTTTTCTTCTTCCTTACACGCATTTTCTCCCCTGCTCTGGTGCTCTAGGAGGCTGATCCCATGATGACATCCCCTGTCTTCTGGTTTCTGGTTCAATATAGGCAAGAGATTGGAGTCCAGGAGGAAGGAGATTGGTCAGGTGCAGCCTTTGCCTTCCTCCCTGCTTTGGAGCTGCGTCTCCTGAAATACCTGTGCCCCTCCATGGCTGTGGCTTCTCCTTCTTGTCTCCCACTTTGTTGAATCTCCAGTGACACTATTTCCTCCTTCCGTTCTGAGGTATGGTAGCAACTCCTGCCATTGCTGGTCCATGGGCACATCACCTTCCCTTGTCTACTCCCTCAATCTGCCCCCTACCCTGCGAGTAGTTTTTAATAAAGTCTCTTCTTTTGAGCCATCCAGGATGAATTATGTTTCCTCCTGTGGCCCTGTATTAGTTATCTGTTAAGTCGTAACAAATGATCCCAAAGTGTAGTGGCTTAAAACAACAATACATGTTTATTATCTCACATAGTTTCTGTGGGTTAGGAATTCAGGAGTGACTTAGCTGTAAGGTTCTGGCTTGGGGTCTCTCGGATAATACAGGCAAGATGTCAGTGGGGACTGCAGTCATTCTAAGGCTCACTAGTGCTGGGAGGTTTGCTTTCAAGATGTCTCCCACAAATGGCTGGCAAGTGGATGCTGGCTATCAACAGGACTCAGTTCCTCAGGACCCCTCCACAGGGCTGCTTGAGTGTCTTCATGATACGGTGGCTGGCTTTCACCAGCATGAGTAATCCACAGGGCTGCTTGAGTGTCTTCATGATACGGTGGCTGGCTTTCACCAGCATGAGTAATCCAAAAGAAAACAACTGAGGCTGCGGCATCTTTTTATGACCTACTCTTGGAAAGTACACACTGCCATTTCTCTAGACATATCCTACAAGTTACACGGGCCAGCCCTATTCAATGTGGAAGGGGATGATGGAATTTGGTAGTGACCGCCAGGAGGCAAGAGTCATTTGGGGCCACCTTAGAGTGTGGTTATCAAAGACCCTGGCTGACATAGTCTCTCAATTAAAACCATCCAAAGGGGGATGGGTTGCTGAGCAAGAAAAATAAATGTGCACTCTGAAGTGCATTGGCAGCTATAAACCAGGTACAAGTCCTGTAAATATAAGAAACTGTGACTCTTGAATTCTCTAGCAGTTCACGTAAGTTGACCAGAGGGCTTAGAAGAGCCATAGTAAATGGGAATGAGGACGCCCCCAAGCCCAGGCCAGAGGTGGGAGGGGAAAGGAGAGAACCCAAGTGGTTCATTGATTCATCTTCCCCAGCTTCTCCTGACCTCACTCCAGCCCTACAAACAGCCTAAGACACTCAACTGTGTTTGTTCATAGTCTGCTCCTGACATCTCACAGCCTTCATTCTGGTTTCTGCCGCTAGAAGAACCTCCTGACCCTCCTCAGGCAAACACTGGGACCATCAAAGCAGCAGCCCTGCCTTCCATTTCTCTTTCCTTTTTTGCTAACACCTGTCTCTTTTGTTTGTTTGTTTTCGAGACAGATTCTTGTTCTGTCACGCAGGCTGGAGTACAGTGGCACAATCTCTGCTCACTGCAACCTCCACCTCCCCGGCTCAAGCAATTCTCGTGCCTCAGCCTCCCAAGTAGCTGGGATTACAGACATAGGTTACCACACCCAGCTAACTTTTTGTATTTTTAGTAGAGACTGAGTTTCACCATGTTAGCCAGGCTGATCTTGAACTCCTGGCCTCAAGTTGATCTGCCCACCTCGGCCTCCCTCCCAAAGTGCTAGAATTACAGCATGAGCCACCACTCCTGGCCTGCTAACACTTTTCTCTTAATGGAAGATATTTTAGCTGATGGAAGATTTTTAGGCTTAGTCCATGAAACCAATAGTCCCCCAACTCCCTTGTGGAGCCATCTGGGTTTCTAGTTGGGGAGTTGAGCCAAAAGGGAGAATGGGTTCTCAATCAGGCATGCCAGGGACACCTGTCTGCCAGCCCAGCCCACTGTTTCCAAGGTTGGGGGCTCAACTGGTGACTCATCAAACTCAGAGCTGAGCACTGTGAGATCCAGGAGAGCCTGGGAGACTGTCCTAGCCAGTACTCCTTGCCCTCACTCTAACACACACGTGTGCATACACACACTGGCAGATGCAGGCTCACACACACCATTTTGCAAATGGAGAAACCTATACACGGAGCCAGCATGCCATCTTGGGATTGCTATTTCAGTGCCCTTTACACCACTCTGTGCTTTAAGTCCTGGATAGGTTATGTGTCACACTGCGCTGACTCTGAGTAGGCAAAGCAACATGATGTTCTCTTTGCCTAAGCATGACCCGTAAAGGGGATGGATGCCCTGGCTCAAACCTTGGCAGGAGGCCCCTGCAGCTGACAAAGTGTCTACACTTCTTAGCCTGGGATTCAAGACCTGCCTCCCCACCCCTCATGTGCCAGCCTTCTGAGCTCCTCACAGCCCTATGTATGTCCTCTCCGTTTCTTCATTCATTTGTCCATCCATTCACTTACAACTATCTATGGAGCACCTATTACATACTACGTGCATTTCTAGCATTGGAATACAATTGTGAAAAAGCAGACAACCTCATCCTCCAGCGCTGCCTCCTACATGAAGCCTTCCCGGACCTGCCCTGAATGAGTAAGCTAAGCCAGAGGAGGCCTACAGCCAACCCGGGGTAGGACTACTACAGTGCTTCTCCTGCTCTCCTGCTGGGGTTGGAGGGGAAGTAACTGGCTTCAGAGTTCCGCAGACCTGAGCTCGGATCCCAGCTCTGCCACTCAAAGTCATAGCTGTGACCTTGTGACTCAATGACTCACCTGTCTGAGCCTCATTTTTGTCAACCAGGAAATGGGAAGGTGGTAATATCCACCAGGCCTGTGGCCCACCTGGTTTGCCCAGGTTTGGAGCCTTTGAACACCAGTGGAGACCAATTAGGCACTTGGCCTTGCAGTAGGACCAGAGCCATGGAATGCCTGTTTGCTCTGCGTGTTATACCTAGAGCCCAGCACAGTGCGTGGCCCAGAAGAGACTGATCACAAAAATGTGATGAAAGAATGAGTGCACAAATGACTAATTGAATGAACAAACACATGTGTACCAAGCACAGACCTCCTCAACTCTGGTTGGTTTCCCCTGCCCTTAAGGTAAAGTCTAGGTTCAATTTTACTTCGTTTAACCTCCTTCAGGTACAGAGAATTTAGTTGCTTTCAGTCATCAGTTCGTGACAGTTAACATCACTGCTTCAGGGAAGGCTCGGCTCTGTTACATTCATTCATTCATTCATTCATTCACCCATTCATTCCTTTTCATCCCCATTTCTCACTGCCATTCCCTATGTCTGTCCAATTGTACCTTTTTTGGTATATGGTTTTGCAAAATGTGTGTTATTATTTGTATTTATGTAAATGTATTATATATATAATATATATCCTCTTTTTTCTTCCTTTTCATTAAGCAGTGTGCTTTTGTTCTTTTGGCTTAGGATTGACTTGGCGATGCGGGCTCTTTTTTGGTTCCATATGAACTTTAAAGTAGTTTTTTCCAATTCTGTGAAGACAGTCATTGGTAGCTTGATGGGGATGGCATTGAATCTATAAATTACCTTGGGCAGTATGGCCATTTTCACGATATTGATTCTTCCTACCCATGAGCATGGAATGTTCTTCCATTTGTTTCTATCCTCTTTTATTTCATTGAGCAGTGGTTTGTAGTTCGCCTTGAAGAGGTCCTTCACGTCCCTTGTAAGTTGGATTCCTAAGTATTTTATTCTCTTTGAAGCAATTGTGAATGGGAGTTCACTCATGATTTGGCTCTCTGTTTGTCTGTTATTGGTGTATAAGAATGCTTGTGATTTTTGTACATTGATTTTGTATCCTGAGACTTTGCTGAAGTTGCTTATCAGCTTAAGGAGATTTTGGGCTGAGACAATGGGGTTTTCTAGATATACAATCATGTCGTCTGCAAACAGGGGCAATTTGACTTCCTCTTTTCCTAATTGAATACCCTTTATTTCCTTCTCCTGCCTAATTGCCCTGGCCAGCACTTCCAACACTATGTTGAATAGGAGTGGTGAGAGAGGGCATCCCTGTCTTGTGCCCGTTTTCAAAGGGAATGCTTCCAGTTTTTGCCCATTCAGTATGATATTGGCTGTGGGTTTGTCATAGATAGCTCTTATTATTTTGAGATACGTCCCATCAATACCTAATTTATTGAGAGTTTTTAGCATGAAGCGTTGTTGAATTTTGTCAAAGGCCTTTTCTGCATCTATTGAGATAATCATGTGGTTTTTTGTCTTTGGTTCTGTTTATATGCTGGATTACATTTATTGATTTTCGTATATTGAACCAGCCTTGCATCCCAGGGATGAAGCCCACTTGATCATGGTGGATAAGCTTTTTGATGTGCTGCTGGATTCGGTTTGCCAGTATTTTATTGAGGATTTTTGTATCAATGTTCATCATGATACCTGACTTCAAACTATACTACAAGGCTACAGTAACCAAAACAGCATGGTACTGGTACCAAAACAGAGATATAGATCAGATATAGATATAGATATAGAACAGAACGGAGCCCTCAGAAATAACGCCGCATATCTACAACTATCTGATCTTTGACAAACCTGACAAAAGCAAGCAATGGGGAAAGGATCCCCTATTTAATAAATGGTGCTGGGAAAACTGGCTAGCCATATGTAGAAAGCTGAAACTGGATCCCTTCCTTACACCTTATACAAAAATTAATTCAAGATGGATTAAAGACTTAAACGTTACACCTAAAACCATAAAAACCCTAGAAGAAAACCTAGGCATTACCATTCAGGACATAGGCATGGGCAAGGACTTCATGTCTAAAACACCAAAAGCAATGGCAACAAAAGACAAAATTGACAAATGGGATCTAATTAAACTAAAGTGCTTCTGCACAGCAAAAGAAACTACCATCAGAGTGAACAGGCAACCTACAGAATGGGAGAAAATTTTTGCAACCTACTCATCTGACAAAGGGCTAATATCCAGAATCTACAATGAACTCAAACAAATTTACAAGAAAAAAACAACCCCATCAAAAAGTGGGCAAAGGTTATGAACAGACACTTCTCAAAAGAAGACATTTATGCAGCCAAAGACACATGAAAAAATGCTCATCGTCACTGGCCATCAGAGAAATGCAAATCAAAACCACAATGAGATACCATCTCACACCAGTTAGAATGGCGATCATTAAAAAGTCAGGACAACAGGTGCTGGAGAGGATGTGGAGAAATAGGAACACTTTTACACTGTTGGTGGGACTGTAAACTAGTTCAACCATTGTGGAAGTCAGTGCGGCGATTCCTCAGGGATCCAGAAGTAGAAATACCATTTGACCCAGCCATCCCATTACTGGGTATATACCCAAAGGACTATAAATCATGCTGCTATAAAGACACATGCACACGTGTGTTTATTGTGGCACTATTCACAATAGCAAAGACTTGGAACCAACCCAAATGTCCAACAATGATAGACTGGGTTAAGCAAATGTGGCACATATACACCATGGAATACTGTGCAGCCTTAAAAAATGATGAGTTCATGTCCTTTGTAGGGACATGGATGAAATTGGAAATCATCATTCTCAGTAAACTATCGCAAGGACAAAAAACCAAACACCGCATGTTCTCACTCATAGATGGGAATTGAACAGTGAGAACACATGGACACAGGAAGGGGAACATCACACTCTGGGGACTGTTGTGGGGTAGGGGGAGGGGGGAGGGATAGCATTGGGAGATATACCTAATGCTAAATGACGAGTTAATGGGTGCAGCACACCAGCATGGCACATGTATACATATGTAACTAACCTGCACATTGTGCACATGTACCCTAAAACTTTAATAGTTAAAAAAAAAGCAGTGTGCTTTTAATATCTATCCTTCCATTACATCTAATCTGCTGGTTATGATTCTCTCTAGGTCACCTCCATCACACACAGACACACACACAGACACACACACACACACACACACACAGGTGCATTAAGCAGCCTTCTAAATGTCCACTTATGAGAATTTCTTAGGCTGTTTCCCAGGAGTGAAATTCTGGGTCAAAGAGTATATGGACACTTAATTCGACTAAGTAGTGCCAGACGCTGTCCTGAATGCCTGCTCCTGTGACATCCCACCAGAAGTGCCTGAGGCCCCATGTCTCTGTCTTCACCAATACCTAGAATTGTCTGTATTTCTAAGTGTTGCCATGTATTAGATGTAAAGCAACATCACTTTAATTTTCTCTAATTTCTAATGATATTAAGCATCTTTTCATGTGCCTACTGTCTTCTGGTTTTTTCTCTTTTGTAAATTGCTTTTTCAGATGCTTCACCCATTTTTCTGTTGGGGTTGCTGTCTTTATATTGTTGATTTTCAGGCACTCCATGGATAATCTGGGTGTTAAGACCACGTTGATTTTAGACCTTACAAAAATCTTCTTTCATTCTATTGTCTGTTTGTCCAGGATGTCCTTTGTCTAGGAAATGCTCAATTTTGATATAATCAAATTAATCAGTTTTTGGGCTAACGGTTTGTGCTTTGGAAGTTTTGTTTGAGAAGTTCTGCCTCTGGGTTTCAAAGATATTCCCCTACATTTTCTCCTGTTAACTTTACCTTTCTCATTTAAACCTTTACTTGGTCACGTATCCACTCTTGTTTATGGATTTTGGCATAAGTTTTGCTTTCCCTTATATAGTCAACCAGTTTTCCAACTGTCATCTGTTAAACAATTAAACATCCCTTTGATTTATGGTGCCATGTTTTTGGAAATTAAATTTCCTTCCAAAAATGTGCTTACCTATTAACCCTTTATTCCAGAGGTTTCCAAACTTTCTCAGTTTAAAGCACCCTTAGTGACTCAGTAATTTTTTCACGGCATTTTTTCACACAATATTTTTTTCTCTAAGCCAAAAGAAATACTACAAGTTTCTAAGCAGTTAGGTCCAAACAACTAAATAAATATTTAAATCCTGACAACTTAGTAGCCATTCAAAAAAGTAATGCACAGAAATTGAAACAAAAAGTAAAGTTTTAATTTTATTCCTGAATGAGTACAGTTCCTTACTAATGGAATAGGGAGCTGGACAGCTTCTGAAACCTTGGAATAAGATTGTACATTGTTTCCTGTTCCTCGTCGATTTTTACACATTGTTTCCTGTTCCTCGTCGATTTTTATACATACTTGCTTTTCGTCACAGCAACCACTGAAAACCCAGTTTCACAAAGAGGCGATGTCATCAAAATGATGTGGCACAATCTAATGTTGAGACTGTGAATTACTTCAAGCTAGTAGTTCACATGGTGTATGATCAATGTTAAATATCACTGTTTCCCTCAGAAATTTAAAATATGCCACAATACCCCTGCGAGTTCACTCTAGTACCCTGGGACACCTCGGGGCCCAGTTTGGGAACCATGGTTCTGTTCTCTTCTACTGGCTTGTTTGTTTTTGAACCAAAACCATCTGTTCCTCTTAGTGTGGCTTTCTAATATGCCTTAATATCTGGCAAAGCAAGAGATCTCCGCTTTCCATTCTTTGTTGGTGTGACTTTGCTACAGGCCTTTCTTCACCTGCTCCCTGCCTGCCTTCAGAGCTTTATCTCTCTTCTGCCACCCTTCAACCTAGAACTATTTCTGCTTCCTACTCTCTGCCTACTTTCCCACCTCCAGGCCTTTACACAGGTGATTCCTTCTTCCTGGTACACTCTCACCATCCCCAACCTTCCCTTTTGCCTGGTGATCTCTCCCTAGCGCTTCTGGGCTCACTTTGAGAAACCCTCTCTCCAGGAAGCCCTCTGTGAGCCTGGGCTGGATAGATTCCCCACAGCCCAGGCCCTCTGCCAATCAGGGCACTCGTGCCTTTGTGCTGTGGTTATCTATAGGTCTGTCTCCTCCACTAGACTGTGGGCTTCCTGAGGGCAGGGACTAAGTCTTGGGGATTGTTGTATCTCCAGTACCTGGCCTAGTCTGATGCACAGCCAGTACTCAACAAAAAAAGTGTAAATTCCCGGCCACACACTCTTTGCATGAACCCAGCGCTTCACTCTTCTAAAAGCCCTGCACATGCCTTTGCTCCTCCTACCAGCCTGGCAGCAGGGATGAGCACAGCCACTGGGGCTCTGGCGGGAGAGTCAGTCGAGGCCGGCTGAGGCTGGCATTCCAGTTAGGCGAGGCTCCAGGTGGGCTGGGGCTGAGCCAGGCATGGGACAACGGAGGGGCTCCTCTGCTGGCTGGAGCTCACCGAGGACTTGTATATCCAGAGGGGCAAGGAGGGCCAGGTGGGGGGAGCTAGGGTATCCCTGCAGAGCATGTGGCCTCCCCTCCTCCGAGACAAGAGTTCAAGAACACTTTTTGCCCTTCCTTTCCCTTCATCACACCACCACCCCTACTGGCCCTATACCAGACCTTCCAAGCCAGAGAGCGTCTCCAAGATTTGGAGAGCCTCCTGTCTGACCCAGCATCTTACGTACAACCTGATGTCAGCTGCTTGGGAGCCAGAAACGTTGTCAGGAGGCTCCATCCCTCAGTTTGGGGATGCCCACAACTAACCTCAAGACTTCTCCAAATTCCTGGAGGACTCGCGCTCTCCTGCTCCTGCCTCTGCTGAATTCACTCGGGAATTGGACCACTTCCTGATCCCTCAGGTGTTCCTCCACTCAGAGCCACATTGATCCATGCAAGATATGCAGCCTCCTCCTCTATTTCTACACCCATACAAAACAAGACACAAAAACTGTCCTCTCTGACAAGGCCTTCTGAGGGGATGTCAATGAAGATTTAGGGGCCAGGCAGAGCAGGGTTGTATCAGAGAAAGTAATTGGAGCAGCATCAAGCTGAACATGAGAAGCCCCTGACCTGGGCCCTCCGCAGCCACCCTTGGGTGGTCTCCACCTCCCACTCCTCTTTGCCTAACAGTTTGCACTATGAAATTTTGTTTGAGAGGTTCTTCCGCTCCTCCCAGGTCCTGTCCTCAGGAGGAAAATGAACTCCAGCCTATTTTCTCAGCAGAGTGGCTGGCCGCCCCCGACGGCCATGGTCTTTCCTACCCAGAAACACATGGAGGTTCTTTCTTCCCCACCAGGAGGCACCAAGATCGTCTGCTCTTTAAGAGGAATTCTGGGCCCAGCTTTAGATCATATCAACTTTATCTCCTTACACCCTAGGAGACACTGCAACCAGTGTGACTGGGGGATCCCAGAGTAGAACCCAGGAGCCCCACCTCCCAGCAGGATACCCTTTCTGAGTCACCAAATCTTGTCCATTTTTCCTTTCCTATTTCTCTGATCTGCATCTTTTTCTCTTCCTGCCTGAGCTCCCTTGCCTGGCGCCTGGACGGCTGCTGCACCAGCTGCCTAATTTGAGCCCTGCTCCACCGCCCCCCCGGGCCAATCTGCAGCCCACCCTGGCTTAAAGCGAAGATTCCAACAGATTGCAAATTGCATCTCTCAGACTTTCAGGTCAGCTGGTCAGCAATTTGGTTTTCCTGGTGGAGCCTAATCTATTTAACAAAAATAGAACCTACAGTAAAGCAAAAATCAAATACTTCTAATCGTAGGGATGCTTGCATCTGCAAATGACCAGAAAAGAAGGAACCATGGGTGGGGGTGGTGAGGAGCCTGGGCAGAGGCTTGGTGATGCATGGCGCTGTAGCTACAAAGCTCCCTTGGCTCAGCCACCCACCCAGGAACCTGGGCAAAGATGCCAGCCACTGCTCTGGTCAGTTCTCCTCTGCCAACTCTGTAGGCATCACCCTCCATCTGTCTGCCCAAACCAGAAAGCTGGGAGCCATTCTTCCCTGCATTCACTCCTCACTTCCGGGGTATCTTTAAGGCTTGTTGATTCCACCTCCACTTCCTTCCCATTTACATATATACATATTGTGTTGTTGTTGTTTTGTTTTTTGTTTTTTGGATTTTTGGGTTTTTTTGTTGTTGTTGTTGTTGTTTGAGACAGGGTCTCACTCTGTCACCCAGGCTGGAGTACACTGGCACAATCATAGCTCACTGCAGCCCTGACCTCCTAGGCTTAAACAATCCTCTCACCTCAGCCCCCTGAGTAGCTGAGACTAGAGGAGTGCACCACCACACTTGGTTAATTTTTTATTTTTTATAGGGACGGGGTCTCGCTATGTTGCCTAGCCTGGTCTTGAACTCCAGGCTCAAGCAATCTCCCACTTGGCCTCCCAAAATGCTGGGATTACAGGCATGAACCACCATGCCCAGCCTCCCTCCCACCTCATGCATCATCTACTTTGCTCCTTCCACATCATCCTCCTCTCCCATGGATTCCACAGCTTCCCACTGGCTGCCTTGCTTCCAGTCCTTCCCCCATGCCCATCCATTTTCCACAAAAGGGAAAGAGCTCGTTGCACCTGCTATCTCCTGGCCAACACCCCTTTTGTGGCCCCTTATTTGGGGCATAAGGTCCAAAGCCCTGCCTGATGTGGCTCCTGCATTCTCTGCCTCCCACCAGCCCTCCACCCCATGCACACCACCCACAGCAACCTCACCCTCCTTTCTACTCCTCCAAAGAGCCACACTGTCTCTTGCCTCTAGGCTTTGCATGCACTGTTCCCTCTGCCTAGAACATTTCCTCTCCCATCTTCTTTGCCTGGGTAACATGGTCATTCTTCTCTGTACCCCTAAGCCACCCCCTCAAAGAGAGGTGCCCTTCCTTTGTGCTGCCAGCCCTCTGTACCCACTCTCTCCTAGCAACTCACATTACCTTATAATAGTCTTACACAAAAAAATTCTGTCATCTCTGTTAGACTGGGAGCTTCTAGAAGACAACGATTTTGTCTTTTTCATTGTAACACTGCAGGGTCTAGCATGCTGTGTCCCAGAGCAGGCACTCAACAAACATTGTATGTGGCCAGTTGTCCCCTCATTTTATCAATGAGGAAACTGGGGCCCAGAGAAGGGAAGGAACACAATTATGAATACACATGGAGTTGGGGACAGAACTGGGACTAGAACCCCGAACTACTCACTGTAAGCCCCAAGCCCTTTCTGGTTTAATTGTAAAGAAATAGTGTTAGCCAACATCATTTGGCCCATGGGATGCAGGTCCCGAGGGCCCAGCAGCCTCCAGGGCATCTTGATCTCCCAACCTGTGATCACCTTCAGGCCTCTGTGACAAGTAGCTCCTCCACCTTGGGCCACTCTGCATGTCTCTCAGTCCTCTTACCCTGGGGAGCTAACTGAGCAAATGCTCTTGGCCAGTGTCCATTCTCTCTCCTTCGTAGCTCTTCCTGAGAGATCCTGCTCCTTGGCCCACCAACACTGGGGAACCCAGTCCATTCAACTCAACTCAACTCAGTGCAACGTAACCAATAGTCCTGCATCCTGCTGCTTCCCAGCCCTTGAAGAGGAAAGAGCACTTTCCTGCCCTCGGAAGCTTCATCCAGCAGGAGGCAATTACCATATTCAGCTCAGGGTGTGGAGGAAGGAGCCGGGAGCATTGCCGTTGCCAAAGAGGACATGAACAGGGGAGGCCACTTTAATTGGGACCTAACATAGGAGGCTTGTGCTTGGAGGACCAAGTCCCAAAACCACATGGTAGATGGAGAGGAGGAGTCCAGTCTGAAAAACAGAAGCCACTCTAGGCATTTCAAACAGAGGGGATTTAATACAAGGAATTGTTTAATAGGTGATGGGAGGAGGAAGGAGTACAGAAGGAGCACTGAAGCAGTCAACGGATACCAGCTGCAGAAAGAAACAGCTACTGCCCCTAGGGCTAGGAAAATGAAAGGACAGAGATGAGCTTTTCAGAACCCAGGAGCTCAGAGGAGAAGCCCTGCACAGCTAGTATTCTGATGTCTGAAGAGGGGCATGTCTGCCCGATGTCTGATGGCCCCTCAAAGGGACATAGCAGGGCTGGTGCTGAAAGCGCAGAAAGAAGCTAGAGGCAGGACCCTGCCTGACAGGAACAGGAGAGCAGGGAGTCCCCATCATCCCCTTCCACTCTACCTCAGAGCCTCCTGTTGGCGGAAGCTAACAGGACAGAGTCTGGGAGATGTGGCTTGTGGAGCCCTGGCCCTAGCATCACAGAGCAGGATAGAGAGGGCAGGCTTGGGAGCTGAGAAACAGTAGGTAAATATTTGGCACAAGCCCCTTCTCTCCAGCTAGTCCCATGCTGATTTGTGGCCTCCTCGCTTGTTTCTGGGAAGAGATTATCACCCAGTTGTGCAGGTAAAAACAGGGCATTTTGCATTCACAATCTTAATTTGGAAGCCAGAGAGGACTGGCTTGGTTATGGGTGTGCTGGAGCCAGCTCCTGCAGGCTCCAGAGAGAGCTGAGAGCCAGTTGTTAAATTATCAGGAATTTGTGAGCCAGCTGTTAAATCATTGATAGCTTGAAATCTACCATGGTGGGTGTATTTACACCACGGAAATTGGCAAACACTACACATCAGAGCTCTTTTTTCTTCTCCCCAAAAAGCCAGCTGTTAAACATTAACCAACACATCCCTGACTACCTATCTTTCCTCCTCCTCTGCCTACTCCTACTACACCCACACACCATCCCTCTAGCCCAAGGTCACGTGGTACTTACTCCAGTCCCCTGCAGAGAGCTCATTTTCTGATCAATGACTCCTTCTCGCAAACAGGAGGGAGAATGGCATGTTGTTAGAAGCATGAGCTTAAAGTTGACACAACTGAGGTGGGTCCCAGTCCTTTTGCCTACTCGTTATGTGACCCTAGGCAAAGTCCTGACCTCTCAGGCTCTCAGTTTCCAGTTTCCTCATCTGTAAAATGGAGATCATCATACATACCTCATTCCATTGAGGGTGTTGTTGAATATCTATTAATAAAGGAGAACCCCAGGGGAAAAAAATCTTAAATAACGCACACAAATGTTTCAGCAAAGCTAAAAGTAGCTTGCACAATATCATCTCTGCACGTTTTGCCGAGGGAAGCCTGAGCACAGAGATGAAAAGGCGCTTGCCCCAGCTTCCCTTCCCAGAAAATGGCCAAGTTCAGCCTGAATCTGAACTTGTTCATTGCTCTCTTTGTTATTCGACTTTGAGAGGGAAACGGGCTTACGTTTGCACAGACAAAACAGTAAATAAATTAATCTGTAAAATTATTAGTAAAATAGTAAAAAAATTAATCTATTTCAAGAGGGAGTATTAGTTTATTGCTGATGATATTGCTATTTTTGCCGGTAAAATGTGCCTCCTTATCACATCTTTTTAAAAAGTTTTTAATAAAGTTTTCTTGTTATTAAAATAATACCCATTTATTATAGAATATAGGTAAAGTATTAAAAAGTAAAAATAAAAAGCGATAATCACACTCCCGGGACCAACCAGTGTTAACGTTTTTACTTTGTGGGGGTAATTTTTACGTAATTGCGAGTATACTGTATATACAATTTTTATCCTTTGTTTTGTTTTTTACTTTTTTAATTCATTATAGTATTAGGAGAAATAACACTAGCTGCTGTAACCGAGTTATCTGAGAATCTTGGTGGACTAACACAGTAAAATTTTATTTATCTCTTATATAAAGTCCAAAGTGGGTCCTTCTGGTTGTTAGCCTTTCCACGTGATCATTCGTGGACCCAAGCTCCTCTGTCTCATGTCCCCACTGTTCCTTAGGCCTCAGGGTTCTCCGATAGATCCTATCAATCTGGTTGACAGGGGGGAAAACGGGGAAGCATGAAGGATCAGGAACTTGTGAGAGGTTTTCATGGTCCAGGCCTGGAGTACCATGTCCCTCCCACCCACATTCCATTGGTAGGACTGTCACATGGCCGCACCCAACCGTCAGGAAGCCTGGAAAACCTAGTCTGGCCATGTGCCTAGGAGGAAAAGGAAATGAATTTGGTCAACAGCTAGCCAGCGACTGGCACAATTGGAATATCACTTGTTCTAACCTTTGATAACTTTTATAATATAATACTTAAGTCTATAGGACTTAGATCAAGTCACCCCCTCATTAAAACCCTTCAGTTGCTCCTCTTGCATTCAAAATGAAGCTCAGCATCCTTGGCATAGCTGGTAAGGTTCTGCGTGGCCTTGCACCTGTCCACCTTGCCGGTCACATTCCTTGCTCAGCTGCTCTTCAATGACCATTTACAGCTTTATCGGCACTGTTTCAGGTCCTTGGATTTCCCAATCTCTTTCCTGCCTCAGGACCTTTGCACTTGCAATTTCCTCCTTCCAGGATATTCTCCCCCTTGCTCTCGGCTCAGCCAGCTCCTTCAGGTTTCAGTGCAAATGCCACCTTCCTGGAAAGGCCCTCCTTGGCCTCCAGTCTAAATTAGGGTCTTCCTGTAGTTTTCTCTTTTGGAGCCCTGCTCTTTTCCTTTATGTCACTGATCACAGTTTGTAATCCTCTATTTATCCGTGTGTTTATTGCTTAATGTCTCTGTCTTCCACCAGACCCTACACTTCATGCAATCTAGGACCATGTTGATTTTGCTCACTGTTTGATCTGGTGCCTGTCTGGCACATCATAGGTGCCCAACAGGACTTGCTGATTGAATGCACGTATCCTAATATTTCATCATGTGTCTGTATTAAAATTTACTTCACTTTTCCCGTACTTCTTAGACACTCATTTACACCTGATATTTTGTTGTTCTAAATAAGCCTGACTCTCTTATTATAATAAGTGGAAGGAAAGAGAGGGAGTTGCTCCACCCTTCCTGGGCCATCCACCCAGCCATCTTCTCTAGGTCCCCGCTTCCCTCCACCGCACACAGCCCCACCTTAGGCCACCACATGCTTTGTGGAGGGTCACTACTTGCACCCTCTGAGCCGTCTGGTTATGGTCCCTCAGAAAGATGCCCCTGCATCCTTATTGTCCACCCGCCGAAGGCTGGCAGTGGGACAGACCCCACCTCCCATTCTGCTCCTTCTTTCAGTTCCCTGCAAACCTACTGCTCTAGGCTCTATGAGTGCATCAAACATTCCTGAAGGCTTGTGTCTAACAAAAGAATTTTTGGTGTAAGAAAATATTTTAAATTGTGTACAAAATGTGGCCTCTTCTATAGCTCAAGGGGACATAAAGAAAAAAAAAAGAATATTTTTTAAACTTTACAGAACATGTGGGTGGATATACTCAATTATTTTTCTCTCTCTCTCTTTTATATCCTGCCATCCCTGTGGAAACAGAGGGCACCTTCTCCTTCAAGCCTGTGTCATGCAGATCTCCACCCTTTATGCAACCCCTGACAAGCAATTTAACCCCAGTGTTTTCTCAAAGTCTGCATTGTTTCTTTGAGACCAGTGCTGTCCTGGGAGGAGGGCTGGCAGCAGAACAGTCCACGATGGGCTTGGATCCCTCACACAGACATTGATCTGCTGGCCCCTGCAACAGAACTTACCAGGGTCCCCCATGGTCTTTGTAGGGGCCTTAGGAGAGCTTTCCCCTTGGCTGTCTGAAGGTTCACTGGAAAATCAACTTCCAATTGGGGAAAAGGCATTCACATGTATTTAATATATATACATGGGAGCCTTCAGAATGAAGACCCAGAGATACAGGGGAAATTGTCTATTTTTATGCTTAGATTCAATAAAGTCTAGACAGCCGCGTAGGAATGTGATTGGACTAAAAGGCTCTGATCCAATGCTGATAGACTGAGTGGGGAACCCAGCAAGGCCTGTCTGTCTAGGTTCTTCTTGACCTCTCTGAGCACTCATTCCTTCCTTCTGGAAGCGCAGGGCTCTCTCCGGAATGGGGGTCGCATGACCTACAGTCAAATAAGCTAAGTTACATGATTTCTTCATAGCCAGTTTTTACACAGAAACTTGGAGGGAACACTGGCGTAATATTTTACATTTTATGGCTAGTTTCTCTGACCCGCTTTGGGGAAGAGGGATTGGAGTTTCTGTGATTGGCCCCAGAGGAGCAAGGGACTGAGGGACAGGAGGCCAGGAGAAGGTCAGAGAAAAACTTTGGCTTCTGAGGAGACTTCTGAGGCCTTCCTTTTGGAGTATTGTTTTCAGAGCCCTAACACCCTTCAACCTCCATTAACTTAAGACATTTTCCTGCCAGTGTGATGTGTCAGGACAGATCTTATTTCTCACAGCACAAGTCAAATCCTCAGTGAGGATGCATGCTCACACCTCCCAAAGGCACACTCGACAACCCGGAGATAAGAGTGCAGTCTAGAGTCATATTTAGGAAGAAAATCCTTCCCTAAGTACACTGTGATCTGCAGAGACTGTCCCTCAGTAGGCCCAGGGCTCCAGAATATTAGGCTGAGCCCAGCGAGTCTTCACTCAGAGTAGCTTCACGCCCCTGCCCAGGCGTTGCCTGTAACACTGGCTGAAGCATGAAAGCTCCCCTTCTTGCCTCCCTGACCCTACACCAGATCTTGTTCTCAGGGAGAGTATCTCTGCCTTCCACTGTGAAATTTAAGAAGGAAAAAAGAGAGGCCCCAACAAAGGGCTTAACCTATAAGACTCATAAACTTGTTGGAGTGAATTTTACTCATGCTTAGTAGTTAAGTATTAAAGATGAACAATGAAAACAGAGAATTAGTTTTTCTAAGAGGAGGCTGTTAAATCCTACTGGCTTCTAGAATCCTTAGTGTCCATTTTACTCCCCACTAACTTTTCTGAGGATTCTGAACTGACATCAGATGGGATTTTGCAGCCGGGTGCAGTGGTTCACAACTATAATCCCAGCACTTTTCAGGGGAGCCGAGGTGGGATGATCATTTGAGGCCGGGAGTTTGAGACCTGCTTGGGCAACATACTGAGACCCCTATCTCAACAACAAATAAATTGTTTTAAAAATTAGCTGGTTGTGGTGACAAGCACCTATGGTCCCAGCTACTTGGGAGGCTGAGGTGGAAGGATCACTCGAGCCCAGGAGCTCGAGGTTTCAGTGAGCTATGATGGTACCACTACTCTCTAGCCTGGGCAGCAGAGCAATACCCTGTCTCAAAACAAAACAAAAAAAAAATGGGATTTTACTAACTCAAGGCATTACAATAACAGTTACCCTTTACAATAAGTTACCCCTTGCTGTGCCCCATCCCTGGCTATTCTCATTTCATAATTATCTTCTTTAATTCTCAGAAACAACCCTGAGAAATTTGTATTGTTCTTACTATTTTTCAAGTAGAAGAACTGATGCTCAGAAACGCTCAATGAGCATCCAAGCTCACATGGATGGCAATATTTACTCTTGTTGGCAAACGCCAAAACTTAGGGTTTTATCCGTAAGTTACCCTATACATTCTGAAGATTTCGCTGAAGGAGAAAATGCAGCTTTATGGCTCCCAATTAAACCTGAACTATTAGTTTGGATTGATTTTTATGAAACAGACTGCTTTCTTTGACGTTAGCAACATCTCTTTCAGGGGGAAAAAAAATCCTTATAAGTTATCCACTTGGAACTTTCCCTTCTGTGATTTTATTTGTATTCCAAATCTGCTCTGTGGTCATTCTTATAAACTCCTTGGAAGTTAGAATCCATTATCAATCACCATCCAGTGGAGAAAACACAAACCACTTCAGTCATTTCAGAGGGAGATTTCATACAGGAACTGGTTCCAACTTTGTTGGAAGGGATGGTGGAGGAAAACAGGTAGAGACTGTTGTGGCAGATACAGTTCTTCAGAAAATTGCCATGCCCCTTGGGCAGGAAGAATGAAAGGGAAAGTGATGTTGCCATTGCCCCTGAAATGCCTGAAGTGGTTTTTGTTTTCTTGACTGGATGTTGATTGATACCAGATCTTACTTCCAGGGAATTTATAAAAATGACCACAGAGCAGATTTGGAATACAAATGAAATAATGGAGGGAAAGCCCAGGTAGACAGGCCTCCGAGGCTCCTGCTGCTGCTGTTTCTGCTACTTTTGGGGCCCTATCTCTGGCCACTGAGCATGCAGCCAGGGGCCCCCACACTCCAACGGTTCAGGAATCAGAAGCTGCTGGGCCCCACAGACACCTGCAGTTACTCGTAGCTCCCCTTGCTGCAACCAGAGCAGAGGAAGAAAAAAAAAAAAAAAAAAAGCTTTTCCCTCATGCATGCTTATGCGTTCTTTCTAATCTCCCATGACCGCTTCCCTAAATGGAAACCAGCTGGCAGGCGATTCTGGGAAATGTAGTTTCAGGGCTTCCAGTCCCTGCCACAAGGAGGAGAGTGTAGAAGAGTGAGTGTGAACTGTGAGCCACCAGACAGTTATCAGCCCCCACCCCGGCCAGAGTTACCAAACTCCCTTGCCTTAGAATTTAACTCATCACCTGGATTGGTCTCAAATGAATGTGATGATTCTGTTACAGCCCTGGAATTGCACAAGACGAAAGCTTAAGGAGAGTCATGATATTTATCTCTACATAAAGACTACATGTGCTGGGAGAAGTGCAACCTTTGTGGGAGGGAAACCAAAAAAAAAAATTCCAGCTCAAGCTGGGGTGTTAGGAATTGAAGCTGGCCTGGCTCCCCTGGCTGAACTGCAGGCCACGGTGGCTCTGAAAGCATCTAGTGGCAGCATTGCCCCATCTGTTCCCACCATGCCCTGTTGCTCAGCTCCTTCAGGTGGCAAGAAAGAGCCAGCCCCAGCGACCTTTGATGACAGGGTGTCTGAGACAGGGTTACCCAGAAAACAGGCTCTGAGACAAAGATTTGCATACAGGAAGTTTATCAGGATATGTTTTCAGGAACAGAAGCTGGAAGGGAGGAAGCCAAGTAGCGCTGGGCAGCGGGAGAAGTCAAAATGTGATGCAGTGGCAATCATGAGCTCAGCCAATCCCAGGGGACCTCGGGATTCCATGGTCCTTCACGGGTGTCCTGAATTGAGGCAGCAGGGCTAGATCCATGACCCTTCACACTGACTGCTAGCTGCAGGTTGCCCCCAGGGAGGGGGCATAACCTGAACTAACATAGCTCTGATTGGGTGCAAGGCATCTCAACAGGAGCCAGATGCTAGCCGCTGGGGAGGAGGGCCTCCATCCTGGGTGGGGTGTCTGGGCGCACCCCTGGCATCCACCACACAGGATAAGAGGAGTCAAACGGAAGACAGGCACTGCCCTGGGCTCGGTGCTTAGCTACATTTGCCATGCAGTCTGAGCTGTGGAGGGACAGAGTCTGGCCACCAGCCTCACTGAAACCACCATCTTCTCACACCTGGATTACTGAGCCAGAGCTTCCAGAGTCTCTGCTTCCACGTTTGCCACACTACCATCCATTCTGTACCCCACAGACAGTGCAATCTTCTCCAACCTGAAATCACATCACAGGCTGCTCCGCTTCACCTCCCCACCCTCATCGCTGTTCATTAGAGTCATGTCCAGACCCTTTGTCATGGTCTCTGGGGGCAATGTGACCTGGCCCCTGTCCACCTATGCATCTGCCACCGCCCAGCCACAACCCTGCCTCCCTCACTGTGTTCCGGCCATGCTGGCCTTTTCTGTTCCTTGAACATTCCAAGCTCTTCCCCACCTGAGGGACTTGGCCCTGGCTTTTGCCTCTGGCTAGAATATTTCCTTCTTTCCAGATAGGTCTCAGCTTTCTTATAACGTCTTGAGCGGAGTCTTCCCTAACTACCCAACTAAAGCAGCTCCCCTAGTAAATTACCTGGGTGTAATGATGTGTGTGCCTGTAATCGCAGGCTGAGGCAGGAGGGTCGCCTGAACCCAGAAGGTGGAGGCTGCAGTAAGCCAAGATCGCACAACTGCACTCCAGGCTGGATAACAGAGCGAGACCCTGTCTCAAAAAAATAAAAAATAAAAAAAGACTTCCTTTTCCCATCACCCTTTTGATCTTCTCATAGCATTCATCACTAACTGAAATTTCTTAAGCATTGGAGGACTTGTTTCTGCTATCCCTCCTAATCAAATAAAAAGCTCTCCAAGAGCAGGCATCAGTCCCTAGAAGGGTATCGAGCACGCAGTAGGTAAATATTTTTGGAATGTTGTAAATTGACCACCTTTTAATAAGGGGGACACCTATTGGGCAGAACTTCTTGAGAACCACCTTACTGGCCTGTGGCCTCCCTCATACCTGGTCTTGTCAAGGCTGTCTTGGCTGGCACAGTGGTCCCCTATCCAGTCGGCAATACTTAGGGTAGCAGGGATGGCTTCACCAGTCAAACCCAACAGATGCCATGGTGACCCTGATGCAGACCCTCAACATAGTCAGTTACACATCCGTGTCTCCATCAGCACTTCGTCACCCCAGTCACAGAAGCCCTCTACTTTCTCTCATCGGTAGGCAGAATGCACAGTGTCTCGTGTTGTTTGGGAAGTCAGTCATTTGGGGGCTGATGATTCTGGGAGGTGAAGACATCGTGGCTGGGGGCCCAGTGGTTTCCACTTTGTCAGCTGAAATCACCTGAGAGTTGAAACTCGCTTCCCAAGGGCTGGAAAGCTCTCTGGTGCTTAACATCTTTTGATTTCAGCTCCCCACTATTAAACATGTTTAAATAAAAATTACTACTGCCATTTGCTGAGCACCTGTCCTGTACCAGGACCTGTGCTTGGTCCATAATTCAGAGATGTTCTGGAACTTGCCTGAGAGAGGACTGAACCCAGTTTGTGAGACACGCTGGCCTACTTCCACTGTACCACCTGAGAAATTAAGGAGAAATCAAAGAGATGGGAGGAGTTCCTGTTAGTACAAAATAGTTATATTTAGTAAAATAAAATATGACAGATCTTGCTTCAAAGGTGGACTAGTTTTGTTCACAAAGTAAAGGAAGGCTCTTCTCACCCCCACTCCTGTATCATTCCATGGAAGCTTTGAATACCATTCCACACACTTTGTAATTTCACTAATAAAGAGTCTGCAGAATTTGTGCGCATTTTAAATCTAGACACCTGTGGAATTCTTCAAAGCTTGGCAGAAGATTGGTAAATTAGATCCCCATCCTGTCAGACAAAAAAAAAATTTCTCCTTGTGGACAGCCTTTCCCACTCAGGCAAAGTGGTCCATTTACATAGAAATGATCCTTTTAGAAGGTGTTTTGTGATTTTCAATTGTCCCTCGAAATAAAAATCACAGCTCCTGTCTCACCTTGGTTGAAGTGTTTTCACACTCCAGGGAGTTGCTTACCGTCACCTGAATATAGAATTCGGTGGGCATTAGTTTCAAACTGATACTACTCACAGCTGTCTTCAGGGTTTCAAAAAGGTGTCCAGGTGGCCTTGGAAGGTGTTTCTCGTTCTGGGATCAGGCTGAGCGATCCCCCTTTATTCTGGAAGCTGCAGGGCTTCAGTCTTTAGGTTTCTGCCTAAGGAAAAATGCTTCCTGGGGTTTTCTCCCAAGACTTCAGTGGAACCCAGAGTATTGTCTGTGCTGTTGCCTGATGACACAAAAGCATAACAGTGAGAGAAAAGCAGGATACCTTTAAAACCATTTCTTTTCCTAATTTCACAATAATGAAAAGACAGGAAGAAACTTATTTCTCGATCAAGAGCAACATGCCACAGTGAAGTAGCATGGACATTAAAATTAAACCTGCATTTGAATCCCAGCAGCCTCACTTACAGTGACCTTGTGTGAAGTCCATAACCTCTCTCAGTTTCAGTTTCTTGATCTGCAAAATGGGGGTCATCCCCTTATCACTTACGTTTGGCATGAAGATTCAGTGATATAGTGTGTGTCAATTTCCTCGTATGGCTGCAGAATTTTAGGTGGGCCATAAATCGGAAAGAAGAGATGACATTCCATCTCTAAATTCCTGATATATTTAGCCAAGCATTTGGAAGCCAGCAGGGCAGATGCAGGAGATAACGCTATGTTTAGCCCCCAAGGTCCCTAATGAGGGGCACTCAGCTGCCTGTGACACTAGTCAGGTCTCGCTGGCTCAAGAAGCTTAGTTTTTTGCTGCACCATAGCTTGGTTATAATTGGGACTGACGTCACCATTCAGGAAAAACTTAGAAAAACATTCTCTATTCCTAATAAGAAATACCAACAGACCTCTAGCACCCTTCTGGTCCTGAAGCCAAGCAGACTCAGCAATACCCCGTATCTTTATGGGTGGGGCACAGGGAGAGGAGTCAGGGCCGGGCCCAAAGGGCCTCACCTTTGCCGTCATCTTTCCAGCACCCCAGAAGACGTCGTCCCCATTATAGCACGGACACGTGGGTGTTTAATTAATAGTCATGGTGATCATGATGATGCTTATCTTGGCTTCAATTCACATGTGTTAGTTCCATTATTGATTTTGTTCTCCTCAAATTAACCAGATAAAGTCACAACCAATTTAAAAACAATTAGTTTGATTTTCATCTGTGGTCCAGCGGGAATCTGTTTTTCCTCCAGTATTAATAATCGCATTGTACAGTTAATGAATTGCTGTGAGATCAGTGGCGTTTGGGCTAATGTGGCATTTCTCTTTTATTCTTGTTTGATTTGTTTTGTTTTGTTTTTAGGGTCAAGTTGTATTCCGGAATGGGGAGAGAATGGGGACCATTAAATTTACTCAATTTCAAGGTAGGCATTTTGATGCTTATTCTTTCTAGCTGATAAAATTTAGATTCAGGAATGTTGTTTTATGCAATATAATACATCAAAAGGAATGCAAGTGTGATGTTCCAGATAAAAGAAAGCAGAGCCAATTGAAAACACTTTTCTGAAAACATTAGTTTCAACCTATTTGGAATATTTTTTTCTCAGCCGCATCATGATCAGCCCTCCATCTCCATGGGTTCCACGTCTGTTGATTCAGCCAGCTGAAGACTGAAACTATTCAGGAAAAAAATGGATGATTCCGTCTGTACCAAATACATACAGACTTTTTTTTCTTGTCGTTATTCCCTAAACAATAGAGTATAACAACTATTTACATTTTATTAGGCATTGTAAGAAATCTAGAGATGATTTAAAGTATATGGGAGGATGTGTGTAGTGTATAGGCAAATACTACCCCATTTTATATCAGGGACTTGGTCGTTGGGGGATTTTGGAATCCTCAAGGGATCCTGGAACCAATCCTCCATGGATCCCTAGGGATAACTGTGCTTCCCTGGCCTATTCTGCCTTCCCGCATGACTCTAAAAGGTTTATGAGATTATGAGTGGTGGGGATTAAGTTAGTATTCTGAGGACCTTTGCATTGTTGTGGGGTTTGGGGTGTTTTTTGTAGAGAAAGGGTCTCAGTATGTTGCCCTGGCTGGAGTGCAGTGGCAATCCACAGATGCGTTCATAGCATACTGCAGCCTCGAACTCCTGGGCCCAAGCAGTCCTCCCACCTCAGCCTCCTAAGTAGCTGGGACCACAGACATGCAACAGTGGCACCCACCTGTTTTTGGTTTTGATTTTAGAGATGTTCAAACAGACTCTAAAGTAGAGAGAACAGCATCATGAACCCCCATGTGCCCAATAGGCAGTTTCAATCATTATCGACATTTTGCCAATCTTCTTTCATTTTGACTCACCCCATCCCCCCTTTTTTTGCTGTAGTGTTTTAAAGCAGCTCCTAGACACGATCTCATCTCATTCTATAAATACTTCAGTATGCATTTTTTTGGATAGGGAGGTTTTATAATATAATCACGGTACTATTATCACACCTAAAACATTAAACAATTCTTAATATCGTTTAATTTCCCAGTCTGTGTGGATCCCCTGATCATCTCAACGATGTCTTCACAGATGATTTGTTGGAAAATCCACACAAATTCCACCCATTGCATCTGCTTGAAGTATCTCTTTAGTCTCTTTTCATCTATTATAACCCACCACTTTTTACAGAACATTTATTTTTTGAAGAAACCGGGTCATGCGTTGAACTTTCTGTTGCTGTCAGAAGGGCCTCAGAAACCATCCAGACCAATTTCTTTGTGTGATGAGGGAAAAACGGAGGTGCAGACAAGGGCCATGTGAGGAGCATCCTTGAGGAACAGGGCTGGGCATTCCTTGAGGCAGACCAGTACAGCCATTAGCGGGGTGATTAGCCAAAACGACTAGATGAACCTCTCATCAATACAGTGTTCTTGAGCAGCCGAGTGTTTCTGGAAAACCCAGAAACAAGAGTGGTGCCTGCTGTGCCCACTCACTTTGAGCAGATCCCAGCGCCATCCAGGGGAAAGCAAGAAATTAAAGTGAGTTATTCAGATTCATTCAGACAAATCCCACCAGGATTCAGATCAATCAGGAGAGGTGTTCTTCAGCGCTATCGCTCTGTAATGCAATCTTGTAGACATACCCATTCGTCTTTCTGTGGCAGGTAATTGAAACGCGTGTCAGCTCTCTGGCGTGCACAAAAGATGTAATTTTAGGCAAACGTAATTATTTTTCCATTTGTTAAATTTTACTTCTTCATTGGTTGAACAAAGTAAGCATCTTGGCAAAGATACTTACTTTTTTTTTTTTTGAGTGATTGCAACTAAATTCTCTTGTCTCATTTCCAGTTCTCAAAATTATATCATTCTAAGAAAGTATTTTGTAAAATAAGGATTGGCTGATCACAGCTACCAGTGCATGCCAATTGTATTGCCTTTTTTTTTTCATACGTTAGGTTTAAACACCAGCTTCAGTCACTATTTAGGCATATCTGGATTTATAAGGAAGGCAGTACAGCAAACAGCAGTTCAGAGCTTGCGCTTTGTGGGTCGACCCACCCGAGATCCAGTCACTTCCTCACTGTAGAATTTCAGGCAAGCGACTTCGCCTCTCTGAGCCTTGATTGTCCTCATCTGTAAAATAGGAGTATAATCCTAACTACCTTCATGGAATATGGGAAAAACTAAATGAGAAAGTATGTGTATATTTAACTATACATACAATATATTTATATATATGTATATATATATATATTTTTTTTTTTCTCAGCAAGTAAGTAGCAATTATGATTAGCACCTTGTCAACATTATGACACCTTTCTGGGGCAAATTCAGGTTTCCCTGAAGTGCTGAAACCCCCTGGCTGCTTTTTTGTCTGCCATTTACCCCTAATAGCGGCTCCCTGCACTTAGTGATGTATAGGAGGTGATACAAGGCAGGGCCTTAGCGATGATCTCATTCCAGAATTCATGGTATAAATGGGGAAACTGAGGTCCAGGGATGAGTAGTGTCTCCCAGGGACACACAGCTGGCTAGTGGCAGAGCAGGGACTGGACCTCAGCTTGCTCTTCTGCACATTCCCACGGACACCCAGGCACAAGTGTGCTCCCCTCACCCTCTCTGCATTTGTGTCCAGCTTTTCTTGAGGGTCACAGCTGGGCCTTCAATAAAGGCCAGATGCTCCTGTTTACATGATTTTTTTTTTTTTTTTTTTTTTTGAGACGGAGTCTCACTGTGTCACCCAGGCTGGAGTGCAGTGGCACAATCTCGGCTCACTGCAACCTCTGCCTCCTGGGTTCGAGTGATTCTTCTGCCTCAGCCTCCCGAGTAGCTGGGACTACAGGCTCGTGCCACCATGCCCAGCTAATTTTTGTATTTTTAGTAGAGATGGGGTTTCACCATATTGGCCAGGCTGGTCTCGAACTCCTGACCTCGCAGTCTGCCCACCTCGGCCTCCCAAAGTGCTGAGATTACAGGCGTGAGCCACTGCGCCTGGCCTACATGTTTTTTTAAACAGACATTGATCCTCTTGCTCCAATAGAGGGACCTTGTGTTATTTTAGGACTGAAATGAGCCACCAGAATGCAGGGGGCATATGCGTATCAACACAACAGTTGGTTTTCCAAATGTAAAGGGTTTCAGAGGTGCCTTATCTACCAGGATGGATTATTGAATAGGCCGTCCAAGCTGTGCGATGAGCCATCCAGGGAGTTAACGCCTCCAGGAGCAGCCCTGTGTCAGTGATGGATGAGAAGGGGAGGATAAATACCCCAGCATCCTTTCCCCTTGGGTGAGGCAACTCCCAGGTGTGTTTGGCTCTTTTCCCAGAGCTCCCACAGTAGGACTGAGCCTCGGTTGCCCACAAAGAAACCTGCTCACTCATGCACCTTGTCCTGGCTCCCTTCCCTGCCTCACTTCCCCACACCACTAACAGCGCATCCTAGGATCACCTTCCAAATAAACTGCATGCCTTCTTCCCCTCATCTCAGGCAGGTGCTATTCTTAGGGAGCCACCCTTGGCCGTAGGTAAGGCAGGTATTAGCATCCTGTTGGGCACACACCTCAGGCCTGAACCCCTTTCATCTCCAGATTCCATGCTCCTCCCTGATGCCATGGCTGATTTTCACGACACCACGTGTAGATGAGGATGAATACTAGAGAATTGGCTTTTTTCCCCTTAAGAGAAAAAAAGTATCCATGTTACTGCCGAAGTCTAAACATGGCTCTGAATTTGCAGCAGGGAAGGAAGTTGAGTGAAGCCGTGATTAGAGCCTTGTTTATGCTGTTCTTAGAGAAAACTCAGCATCTGCCGCTCCAACTCACCGACCCTGCCTTCATTAGGCCTATTTGTAAGAATCTCGGGGAATGATAATGTGCTTGAATTTCACACTGCTTCTATGCAACATAAAGGGCTCAGGCTTTGGAGTTTTATATTTTGGCACCTGATTTGAAGGGAAGGGGTCTTCCTTCACTCTAACGACATAATTGTCATTCAGAACGTACCTAGTGAAAGGGAGACTTGTCCTTCCCAATTGCAGACATTAATTACCATTTGGTCTTCAGGGTAACAGATACGGTTGTATTCAGTGCGCATTTCCTGAGCATCTGCCAGGCGCTTTACCAAGTCCTCTGGAGAAAACCAAGTTGAATAAGATACAGTCCCCGATCCTCCAGGGCTTCATAATCTCTCTGGCCGAATGCCAGTGCTTATGAAAGCAGGAAGATTATTTCCCAGAACCTACTAGAATACTTTCAGGGCTAGTTTGACCCTACTTTGAGACTCTTGAGGCTGATTTTTAATAACCTTTTCCTCTGTCAAGGCCTGCAATTGTAGCTCGCTTCACCAAGTCATGGGTCTGGAAAGGCCATTTCGTCAGACTGTCACTCAACTTGATATAATTAAAGAGTGGAGTCATAGTCCATAATCCTTCAGGATATACCAGCAGGGTTGTGGACAAGCAGGAACCAGGGGACACACGGAAATGTGGACTCTTTTCCAGCTTGACCCTAGCCTCGACACCTCCCAGCCCTCATGTTCCAGGATTTGCCTTTCAGGGAGCCTAAGAAAGGTGGCCCAAAAGACAGCATATTTTACAGGTATTGGGTTTCATTGAGCCATCGACTCTCCATGTTGAAGGGAGCCCTGATTCTCTTATACAACATTCCCACTGCTTGAATGCCTCCAGTGATGGGGAACTCATTCCCTCTCATGTGGAAAGTATATAGGCTTGAAGCAGACATGCCTGATCATTGACAGATAGGCAAAGAAGCTTAGTCTCTTTGAGCCTTCATTTCAGTTAAAAATAAGTAAATAAATAAAAGATGATCATTTTCCTTGCCTTGAGAGTGACTGAGAACCTGATGATGTGAGGCTGTGATGTTCCTGTCTCGGGGACTGGCACAGAGAAGGGTCATAACAACTGTTGGCTTCCTTCTCTCTTGGGCACTCTTAACAGTGACCCCAGATTTACACTCTCCCCCGAGGAATTTCTTGAGAAAAGTGCAGTCGCGCTTCTTTAGGACACAATTCGCACACCTCATTTCATGGGCAGTCATTGTCGTTGGTCCATGAAAGTCCCTCTTGTGTGTCCATTTATCCCCCTTATTTCCCTCCTTTATTCCCATATCCCACTCCTACCTCCCCCAAGGAAAGGCAAACACCCCATATTGTGTTTGTGTGTGTGCTTGCAAGATGCGTGTTGCTCCGTACATCAGTGCCACTGGCTTAGGTATCTTTTCTGTTCTGTTTTGTTTTTTCCACTCAACACTTTGTTTCTAAAGACATCTCCATGGTCCTGGGTGTGCTTCTAGGCATGGCTCCTCCCTGCTCCCTGCAGGAGCCATGGTGGGGTGCATCCATCACTTCACCCATCCAGGCCCCTGGGACGGACACCCAGGTCACTTTCAACTCTCCACCCTCACAAATAATACATGTCCTTATATATGTTCCCTTATGGACCCAACTGGGAATTTCCTTAGGACAGGTTTCCAAGAGCAGAATTGCTGAGTCAGAATCTGTGTGCACATTGAACATGCCCAAAACCTGCCAGGTTGCTCTGCAGAATGGCCTTGCCCATATCCACACCCACTGGCAGAGGATTCCTGTGTCCCTACCTACCACCCACATTTGGGATTTCCTGGATCCCTCATTTTTTGACGGTCTAAAAGTATAAAGTAATATCATATTGTGACTTTACGTATCGTTTCTCTGATTCCTAATGAGTTTGGATATTTCTTTCTGTGCTTATTAGTCATTTGTTAATTGTCTGTTCTGATCCTTTGATCTTTTTTCTTTTCTTTTTTTCTTTTTTTTTTAAAAAAAAAAAAGGCAGGGTCTCCCTCTGTTGCCTGGGGTGGAGTACTACAGTGGCACAATCATAGCTCATTGCAGCCTTGAACTCCCAGGTGTAAGCCATCCTCCTTCCTCAGCCTCCCAAGTAGCTGAACTACAGGCGTGCACCACCATGCCTGGCTAGGTTTTTTTTTTTTTTTTTTTCATGGAGGTGGGAGTCTCGCTATGTTGCCCAAGCAGGTCTCAAACTCGTGGCCTGAAGCGATCCTCCTGCTGTCTCAGCCTCCCAAAGTGCTGAGATCACAGGTGTGAGCCACCGCACCCAGCCCTTTGACCATTTTTATTTTGAAGTTACTGTCTTTTTCTTGTTGGTCTGCAGAAGTTCCTTACATAAGCTAGATATCAATCCCTTATTGGCTTTAGGCTTTGCAAGTATCTTCTCCCATTCTGTCACTTGTCTATAAACTACCTTCAAGTCCTGGTTGAGCCTTCAAGTTCTTAATTTTGATGTAGATAAACCCTTTTGGTTTTTGTCCTAAGGTTTGTGCTTTTGAAGTTTCTCAACAATTATTTCCTGTCACTCCTAGCAGGTGACCCCCTACCTGCCAGGTGCTGGCTGGCACTGGTTGGGTATGGGGGTTGGTGGGGCTGAGTAGGGTAAGATGCAATCCTTGCCCTCAGGGAGCCCACAGCCCATCCAGTGCAATGAGGAGTAGACACAGACAACAGCAAAGTGTGATGCGTGATAAGTGATGGCACAGGCAGCTGTGGGCATTCAGAGGAGGGCACTCAGGTCTACCTGGCAGAATCTAGGAAGGATATCTGAGAGCAGTGGCATCCAAGATGAATTCTTTTTTTTTTTTTTTTTGAGATGGAGTCTTGCTTTGTCACCCAGGCTGGAGTACAGTGGCACAATCTCAGCCCACTGCAACATCCGTCCCAGGTTCAAGCAATTCTCCTGCCTCAGCCTCCCAAATAGCCAAGATTACAGGCACGTGCCACCGTGCCTGGCTAATTTTAGTATTTTTAGTAGAGACGGGGTTTCACCATGTTGGCCAGGCTGGTCTTCAACTCCTGACCTCATGATCTGCCCACCTCGGCCTCCCAAAGTGCTGGGATTACAGGCATGAGCCACTACACCCGGCCCCAAGATGAATTCTGAAGGACCTGAGGGAGGTTGCCAAGAAGAAGAGAAAAAGTGCTCCTGGGGCAGACAGCCTATTGCATATGACCTGGGTCCCCTCAGGTACTTAGCTCTTGTCCTTGGGCCAGTTTGCCTAGATCGATGGACACATCTACCCCTGGCAGTTACTGTACCCCAGGGTATTTGGCCAATGTCCACCTAGCCTGTTAAAAATCTCAAAACAAAGGTCAGTTAACTAAACTTATGAAAAATATGGCAATAGCGTATTGTTTGTGACAGTAGAGCACAAAGTCTGTCTCTGTTCTATGCTGCTGAGAGGTAATGCTGGGAGAGGGAGAGGGAGCAGATTGGGATGGGGTGGAAGTGAAAAATCACTTCCTGAGAAATGGCTGTTCATCCTGGGGAAGAGCAGAGTTGAGGCCCATGGTTGCCAGATTCCAAGTCTGAAGGATGGTCAGGAGCAGGAGCCGAAGTGATCTGGGGCCCCAGCACAGACCCAGGACCCATGAGGGGACGTCACACAGAGCAGGTTTTAGCTTGGAATGAGGAGGACCTTTCCAAGCAATTGCAGCATCATTGAACAGGAGTTTGGGGCTACAGAGATCTCCCATGCAGCCCCCTCACTTAGCAAGACCCAGGTTGGGGATGGGACTTCCCCAGGGCTACTCAGAGTGACCGCAAAGCCAGCACCAGCTTGGGGGCTCCTGTCTTCTAGCTCAGAGCTCTTTTCTATGCCTGAGTTTGGGGGGTGGGTCCTAGAATTGAGTACATTTATAGAATCTTTTATTTTTGTTGAGCCAAGATCATCTTTTGTTTCATACCCCAGAGTTATACATTGTGTCTCAGTGTGCGTGTTTTCAACAACAATCAAATTCTAAAGGACACATTCTGGCTCCCCCAATTTGGAGCCAGAACCAAGTGAGAAGACAAGTCTACCCCTGGCAGTTATTACACCCACCCCAAATAAAATTGGATACAGACTGGATATAGACATATCCACATATAGACCGGTTGACCTTGTTTGCACGGTGGAGTTAACAAGCCCAAGAGTTAAAAGCTGAGAGGGCTGTGTGCCTATCATGGCTACCACCTGGCTGGACTGTGGGTGAATGCAAGAATACAGGGGACACAGTCCTTCCATCTGCAGACCCAGGAGGCACCCTGAGCAGAGTGCAGGGGATGAGACCTTATACTGCCTGGGACAACAGAAGCAAGGCTAGCCAGCAGGAATCAGAAGCCCTGGACACACACAGGACATGGCTTCTACGTGAAGAGCTGTCATGCACAGAGCCCTGAGTCCACAGCAACTAGGACACCGGGAGGGGAGGAACAGTACTCAGGGAAGGCTTCCTGGAAGAGGCAGGTAGGGTTTGGACAGGTTAACTTGTTAAAGGGAGGGAAAGCCACCTCCCAAGTGGAGGAACCATGGTGAGGAACAGATGGCAGGAAGAAAATATGAAGATATTTCTTGGGAACTTCACATAGAGCCCACAGTTACTTTCATCATGAATAAAATAACCGTAATTTATTGGACACTTACCGTGAGTTAGGTTCCAAGCTAGGAACTTGGCATATATTCTCGTCTTTAACCCTCTTATCAATTCTAAAGTTCCCAGTTTACAGATACAGTCATGCAAGATCTGAAATTGTGATTTAAAAAAAAAATCTCTGTATCTCTGGCCCCTAGCCCAGAGCCTGGCACGTAATGGGTGTCCAGTAATGTTTGTTGAATGAATGAATGAAATGATAAAACTAGAGGATTTAGTATCAACATCTCTCCAGCATCCAGGATGTCCAAGGCCACCTGGCTTGAGGACACGGGAATGACTTTAACTTCCCACCACCTGCAGTGCTGCTTTTGAGAGATGCTTTATCATGAAATACCATGAGCTGAGCCTGGCATGCAGTAGGCACTCAACAAATGTGGGCTGAATGATTGGCAGCCCTGCTCAGTATGGGGGTAAAAGTATGCTGAATTCAGAACTAGGAGACCCATGTTCAGTTGCCCACTGGGTCGCTGCTGAGCACTTGGCTCTGAGTGGGTACTTAACCTATTTGAGGCTCCTCCTGCCTCTTTAGACCAGGATGAATTATGCCCAATTCATGGTTTGCCATGAGCATTAAATGCAGGAACTTGTGAAGCGCCTGTGAGCCTCCAACATTGCCCCCAGGGAGAGATTATGGTGATTACGGTCGGTGGGAAGCTGAGTATTATTTCAGTGCCATGGGACGGTGCATACAGCAGCGTATGTGAGTCAGAGGGGCAGGCTGTGTGGCCGGGGTGCGGTGGGGTGCCAGCCACACCATTCCCCACTCTTGATGATTGATTCTGATCAACCTGCATATTTCATGCGCTGCCTCCCTGCCTCAAATAAATAAATCAGGGCCTCCTCTGAGCAGCAGGACCTGATTGGGGCATCT
Organism: Homo sapiens; assembly: GCF_000001405.40. Taxonomy (NCBI): domain Eukaryota; kingdom Metazoa; phylum Chordata; class Mammalia; order Primates; family Hominidae; genus Homo; species Homo sapiens. The sequence goes on along the minus strand of NC_000009.12, from coordinate 98,396,654 downwards.
GCAGGGCTCAGGACTTCAAAAGGCCAAAGCAGGGATGCTGGAGCCCCCCAGCAGATTCTGCTAATGTGACATTTAGGGGCCGGGTGACCCAGGTAAGCAACAGCCGCTTGCGCAGTGTGATGCCCCCTAAATGGCGAGGACCCTTGTGGGGAGAAGGAAGTGACTTTTACAGCCCCTGTTTCCACCACCCACGGTCAGAGGAACACAGGCAGAAGTGTGGCCCAGGGGATTCCCTGTTCTGTTTTCTGAATGTTTCTAAGGGCCAGCAGTGCACCTGCATTTCTGCAAAGAAATTCCCTTAGAGCTAGAGCCCCAGGAGGCACTTCCTCAGGGTGTGCCTTGGAATTCCTATATAAACTCCAGGCATTTTGCTGGCCAGGGTCTGCAGCTCTGGAAGGGACCCGCCTGCACTTCACAGAGGCTTTCATCTGGGGATGGGTGGACAATCCTCCTCTTTGTGCTTCCCACATTCACGAGGCACAGGTGGTCCATGAAGTGGGCACTCGGCACAAACTGTCACCTCTCAGGAATCCCATCAAGGCACCCCCGTGTCAGGGAAGAGCATGGGCTATGGAAAATGTCCAGGGTTTGAGTCTGGCCTCTATTCTTATTACCACTGGGGCCCTAGGCAAAGCCACAAGCTGTCTGAGCCTCCGTCTCCTTGTCTTTAAGTGGGACTGAGACCACCTACTCCACACACTGTTTTAGCTAGGCAAGAAAATGTACATAAAATAGCACTGATCCAGCACACTATAGAGGCTCGGTCAGTACCCCCAGCCCTTCCTACCTGCTCCCCACCATTCTCAAGCCTGCTCTTCCCTGGGGGCCCTATCCCTGCCCTCAAACTCACTGCCCCTTGCTCCATCCTTCTAACCACAACCTTTCCCTAAATCTGCTTCATCCATGTTCGCTGGTATCCTCCCAGATGCCAGATCCTCAGACCCTGCTCAAGGGTCTTCTCCCAGCCTCTCTGTGGCATGTGACACTGCAGCCAGCTCCATGGTGAAGGTGTGCCTTTCCTTGGCTTCTAAGATGCCCACTCCCTCCCAACACCCTGCTCCTGCATCCTGGTCACCCCTTCCCAGTCTCTGCTCTGCCCACCCCAGGGGTCAGGGCTCCTCCAGAGTCTGCACTTGATCCTCTCCTCTTTTCACTTGGCTCACTTTCCCTGGGGGTCTCATTCCTGCCTCCAACTCCGATTCCCATCTTCCATGCCGATGACTCCTGCTCGCCCCCCAGCCACACCTCTCCCCTCAGCTCTAGACTCAAGAGCATCTCTGCCTTGATGCTCCACAGGCATCCCAGGCTCAGCACATCCAAGATGGAACTCATTATTCTTCCCCTTGTATTTGAAGCCCTCCTGGGTTCTCTGCTCAGGGATGGGAACTGAAACTCCTCATCCCCACCAGAACCTTGGATGACCTTGGTCCCCCTCTTCTTCATCTCCCATTTGATCACTCAGTTGTCCTGATTTTACCTGGAAAAAAGAAACCTTGCTTAAATCTGATCCCCATTTCCATTTCTTCTGCCACCACTCTGGGCCAGTCCTCATCATCTTTATCCTTGACGATGACCAAAACAATGAACTAAACACACCAAGAACTGTAAGAAGGTTGAGAGTAAATTTGAATGCACCACTTGGGTTTAAAAACACACTGAACAAGTGCAAGGAGCCAAGAGCAGTGGGAGATTATGCTTAGTATGACACAGCAGAGCAATGTGGCTTCTGAAAGATGCAAATTCAACCTAAGGATGCATATAATAGCAATGTGAACTCCAGAATGAGGGAAGGGATGGTGGCCTCTACTTGCTGCTGACCAAATCATGCCAAAAGTGCACTGGTCAGTCCTTGGATCTACACTCTACAGAAAGACTGACTTTATGGAATGTGGCCCAAGGAGGGGCTGGGGTGGGGGAGCAGGGAGATTGAAGTGCTGTTCTGTAAAGAGGAGTTGGGGGGTGGTATCAGCAGACTGACCTGTCTTTGTCTTCAAGTATCTGGGCCTATCCTAGGGAAGATGGAGCAAAAATGGTCTGTGTGGTTCTAGAGGGCAGAGCCAGTTGAGCAGGGGGAATGTTACAGGGAAACATTTCAGCTCAGTGACCAGGAAGAACTTGGTACCAGACAGAGTACAGTTGTAGGGAGCCTGGGCTCCCCATCTTTGAGGTGTGAAGCAAAGGATGGACAACCAGTTGATGAGACAGAGACAATGCAAGAGAATGTTCCAGCCTAGATCAGGTTAGAAGTTTTGTGATTCTAACCAGAAGAGGCATTGGAGAAAGGGAAGCCTGCCAGAATATATCCAGGGCCTGTGAGGGGAGCAAGAGCCTGGAATAGGAGCACCCAGACACAAACCCAGATCCCAGTCTAACTGGCCACTGTCTTTTGCTCCCCACAGACAGCAGGGAGGTGAAGGTGGGAGAGTACAACGCTGTGGCCGACACACTGGAGATCATCAATGACACCATCAGGTTCCAAGGTAAGGCAGGTGGGCTTCTCAGAGGAGGGGGCCTGCCCAGTTGCTCCCAAGCCTGGACATTGTCTAAGGGTTAGGGACAAGCTCAGCATCCTTGGCTTCAGGGGGTCAAGGGAACATCCTCAACACATGCACTCAATCGTTGAGCACAGGGCTCCAATCACTTGTATGGGCTCCAGCACCTGGCATGGGTCACTAGAGTTTGTATGAAGTGCACACTGAGGTGTTTAAACCATTGGATGGCCAGGAGTAATTCTTTTTAAATGTAGCCCTGCTAAATTTAGGTCTATCTTCTCCTCTGGCAAAGGGTTTGACTGGGTTGGAAATAAGGCCTGTCTATCTGCTGCTCTTCCTAGAAGATTATTTCTTCTCCTCTGCTAGAGAACTCCTCTTCAGCTTCTATAACCAGCTCAAATGACACCTCTTCTGTGCGATCTTCCTTAATTGCCATCCAACTGAGCTAATGACTCCCTTCTCTTTGCTTCCAGTCTTTCTTCTCTGCCTCTCTTATGGCCACTGTCACTTTACATTGATATTACTAGGTGATTCAGCTATGAGCCCCTGACTGGATCCTATTTAACTTTAAATTCCTGGCACCAGCCAAGGTCTGATGCATGTTGGAGACTTGGTGGTATTTAATGACAAAATGAATTGATCAAGTGGATGGATGGATGGGTGGGTGGGCTGGTGGATGAGTGGATGGATGGATGGTTGGGTGGATGAGTGGGTGTGTGGATGGATGGATGGATGGAAGGTTGGGCTGGTGGATGAGTGGATGGATGGATGGTTGGGTGGATGAGTGGGTGTGTGGATGGATGGATGGATGGATGGATGGTTGGGTGGATGCCTGGATGGGTGTGTGAATGGGCAGATGGATGGATAGATGGATAGGTATGTGGGTGGGTGGGTGAGTGGATAGATGGACAGGTAGATGGGTGGACAGATGGATGGCTGGGTAGATGGATAGATGAATTGATCAAGTGGATGGATAGATGGATGGATGGATGGATGGATGGATGGGTTGGTGGATGAGTGGATGGATGGATGGTTGGGTGGATGAGTGGATGAGTGGATGGATGGATGGTTGGGTGGATGAGTGGGTGTGTGGATGGATGGATGGATGGATGGATGGATGGATGGATGGATGGGTGGATGCATGGATGGGTGTGTGAATGGGCGGATGGATGGATAGATGGATAGGTGGGTGGGTTGGGTGGGTGGGTGAGTGGATAGATGGACAGGTAGATGGGTGGACAGATGGATGGCTGTGTAGATGGATGGATGAATTGATCAAGTGGATGGATGGATGAATGGGTAGTGGATAGATAGATGTATAGGAGGGTGAGTGGATGAGTAGACAGATGGACAGTGGATGGACGGATGGACAAACAGACAGTCTAGTCACTTAATAGCAATAGAGAAAGCTGCCACATCCATATTGTTACTTTGATTCCAGTGGGTCAGCAGAAATTGGGACAGCTGGCTTTCTGTGCCAGGAGCTTTTAAGTTCCTTCTTTAAAGCAAGGGCACCAGAGAAGGCTCTTCCGCAGGCCCTTTGATTAGACTCTGTCATGTTCCTATATTTCCACTGGACCTGAGGGATTCAGCCTTGAGAACATTGCAAAGCAAAACTCCAGTCAGCCTCTGAGAACCAGAATGGTCTCCACACTCAGGTGAGCCTCCCTATCCCAACTGAGGGAGCTGTCACCAGACATATCGTCAAGTATTACCTCAAGGGTGACACCCCAGATTCACACAGCCTGTTGTAACCACCAGAGCCCTGATCCCCAAGATCGGCATGTCTGCTATCGGACTGGGGAGATCAGGGTTTACTGAACAAGGACTCTGGGTTTACGAATTGAAGAAAAGATTCAAGCGCCAAACAAATAAAAGACACAAAATACAACTTACAGGAAAAACACGAATTTGGTGGGGCAGGGACCAGTAGCCAGGACAGTGGCTAAACAACAGTCAGAGGGTACCAGGTCTTCATTGGTGATGCCCAGGCCCTGCCTTTCAGCCCCGGGCTCTGCCCCCAGGCTGAGAGAACACAGGAAGCCGCTGTGCCAGGCATACTTCCTGCTTCTCAGACCTTCCCCACTACCAAGACCGTGAATAATCAGCCTCTGAACACAGAGCCCAGGCAGGTCAGGGCAGAGCCCAGGCCTTCTATCCACACCTGGCCTGGGTTCAGCTCTCAGCCCCGCTCACTCGGACCCCTACACTAGCCCCCAGTGAGGCTTCTCACAGCTGTGCTAGCCTTCCCTCCTCAATCCATTCTGCCCTCAGCAGCCAAAGTGCCCTTGCTGTCATGCCAGGCTTAAGATGCCACCTCTGCTCAGAGCCCCGCACGTCCCCACTGCTCAGAGCGAGGGGACCTCACTCTGAGCTGTGGCCCCAAGGCCTCCATGAAGGGACCCCTCCTCGCTTCTCTGTCTCCTCTCTCAGATTCCCCCCAACTAAACTGCTTACAGTTCCTCAACTGTCCTGAAACACCACTGGGCCTTGGCTCATGCTGTGCCTTCTGCCCAGGATGCTCTTTCCTTCTCATCTTCCTGGCCAACAGCCAACTACTCTACTCATCCTTCGAGACTCAGCTCCTTCGTCACCTCCTTTCTGTAGCATTTCCTTACCCCGTCAGGCAGGACTGCACTCTGCTCCCTGCTCGCTCTCAGGCCTCCTGTCTGATGTTATCACATCACCTGGACCCCAGCGTCACGGGCAGCAGTTTGTGTAGTAGTTAGACCATAAGCTTCAGGGTTAGGCAGATCTGAGTTCAAATCCTGCCACTTACTAGCTGTAAGAGCCACTTAACACCTAGAAAACCATTGTCCCCTCTGTCAAATGATAATAATCTTAACTACCCCTGAGGCTGTTGGGTGGATCAAGTGGGAAAATCTCTGTATCTTGCTTAGCTTGTCATAGGCATTCAATAAATAGGATTGCTTATTAGTGCTTTTTTCTTTTTTCCTATGGCTAGTGTGTAAGTTCCCTGAAGGCAGGGACAGTGTATTTTTCATCTTTGTATCATTGGTGCTCAGTCTCAGGCCTGACAGATGGGAGTTGATTATTAATTGTGATTAATCATCATTAATGATGAATGAATGAGTGAATGGCAATGAATGGATGAATAATGAATGAATGGACCAGATGAAAAGTGAGAAAGAAAACTCAGGACTTCTGCTGTTACTAATACTCATGATAAACCAAGCATTTGGTTTCCACAAAGTCTTAATACCCCTTGTGGAGCCATCATTTTGCAGGAACAGAAGAAGGAGTAAGAAGGAGACAACTTTCTCTTGTCTATTGTCAATTTTCTGGAGTTGTTTCTATACAATAGGCCCCAAACCCAGTAGTGATCATATCACCTGTGAACCAAACCTCAGTCTTCTTTCTCAGTGTCCATAGAAGGGCTTGTTTCCAGCCAGGATCTCACAGATGCCCCAGCACTGTTCTTGCATTTGGTAGCCAGAAGGCACCTGAGCCAGGTGTTTGGGGAAGGATGATGGACAGAGGTGGAAGAAGCTTCCAGATGGTGAGCTTTCACCATCTGGAAGCAAGAAATGATGTTACCTCCATCTCCTTGTGTCTGCTTTAGCCCAGACTTTTGGCCCTTGATGCCACTTTTCTTATAAATGTTAGTTTACATGGAATTGCTTAAGGCTTCACATTAACCACATCAGCAGGTTCCTTGATGTTTTCAAACCTGGAAACTTTCCTAAATTTCTTACATGGTTCAAACTCTTTTAATCCACTGAATGTTTCTCGCTCTCTATTTTTTTTTTTTTTTTTTTTTTTTTTTGTGAGATGGAGTCTTGCTCTGTCACCCAGGCTGGAGTGCAGTGGCATAATCTTGGCTCACTGCAGCCTCCATCTCCTGGGTTCAAGCGATTTTCCTGCCTCAGTCTCCCGAGTATCTGGGACTACAGGTGTGCACCAGCACACCCAGCTATTTTCGTATTTTCGGTAGAGACGGGGTTTCCCCATGTTGGCCAGGCTGGTCTCGAGCTCCTGACCTCAAGTGATCCACCCGCCTTGGCCTCCCAAAGTGCTGGGATTACAGGCATGAGCCACCACGCTCAGCCAAAGCCACTGAATATTTCTAAACACATTTGAACTTGCTAGCAGTGTTTTAAACCCAGATGTTCAGGGGAGTTCTCACTCCCTGCTACCACATCTGCCCCTTTCCTGCTTGTCTCCTGGGAAGAGAGGCATAACTGGGACCCTGGTGGGGCTCCCAGATTCCCAGGCTTGGCTACTTTGTAACATCCGGCTGATTCCACATACCCCTACTGGAGAGAAAAGCCCTGAAGTTTCACAATTCCACAGCAGAAACCTGACCTAAAATAGCAGCTAAGAAAGAGGGATTCGCAGGAAGCTGGGGGAGTCCCTGAATCCCTCATCCCAAACCAGTCTATGTCTGCTAAAACTAAAACAGGACTGAAAGATGGATTTGCTCTGAAACCCTCAGGGTTCCCCCGAGTTCCTTGTGCTCTTGAAGAATGAGCAGCGCACCTCTGCAGTCACATAGAGAAATGGAATCCCACAGTTCCAGGCCAGTTCTGGCACAGCAGGGAGAGGAAGGTAGCTTCTGCCTCCCACAGTTACTCAGAGTCTTGTGGAAACAGAAAGCCAGATAGAGCTTTTAAAACACAATGACATTGAAGCAGAAATTCTGCAGCCAAAACACCTATGTGTCACCATGGAACCAACAGGCAAGGTGTCCATCCTGTTGAGGAGGGATCATTTATTGTGTATGTTTAGGAGCAGAGATCTTGAGGCCAAAGCCAAGTTCTTCATCCCCGAAGGCACCCACGGGTACCCACTCACATCACCCAGCCCTGTGCTTCCAGGCCGTTGTTGCCTTGGGGGATAAATGGTGATGGTTTTTCAATAGTGTAATTAGACCAAATCAAATTCTAGTCTTCTAATGGCTATTAAATGCATCACAAATCCTTTATTGATTCTATTTAGAGAAAGAAATACAGTCCTAGCTCAGGCTCCCTGTTGAGCAGACTGGCCAACCACCGGATCTGGCTCACCCGGTAGATAGATGTGCCTTGTGTAGAGTTTGTGCGCAGGGCCTGGCTGGATGTCAGGGACACTAAGGCAAAGGTGTTCTCGGGGAATGACTTGCATTGGGTCCCACTGATGTCTTCTCTTGATCCTCTAGGATCCGAACCACCAAAAGACAAGACCATCATCCTGGAGCAGCTGCGGAAGATCTCCCTACCTCTCTACAGCATCCTCTCTGCCCTCACCATCCTCGGGATGATCATGGCCAGTGCTTTTCTCTTCTTCAACATCAAGAACCGGAATCAGAAGTAAGCCACCCTGGTCCTCCTCTGTGATATCACTTTCTAAATTGACAAGCCTATGGACACAGTATAGGAGTGCCACATGACAGATTCCCCAGGGACACAGAAGTCTGCAGGGCAGAGTTTCCCAAAGTGTTCCTCCGTTGCTAGGATGTTGTAGGTGTTACATGCATGTGAGTACGTGTGTGTGCGTGCACGCACACACACACACACACACACACACACACACACACACACACAGAGGCCAGGCTGCTGGTTGCACAGGAGTTTAGTCAAATAAGTTTGAGGAAGTTAAATAAAATCGAAGAGTCCAAGTCCACGGGCCTTCTCAGAGCTTTGGATATACTCCTGTACTTTGTGGAGGTCCAGGAGGAGAGATATAGAAGACAGAATACCCCAAACTTCTTTGCCCCTATCCCCTAGCATCGCTGGGAATCACCACTGAAGGGGGTCACAAAGTCCAGTGAAATGGACTCCCATTGGTACAGTTCATTACGGCCAGGAAGCCCTCCCTTCCATCATCCCGTATGACCCTCCGGATAACTCCTCATTTCACAGAGAAAAGCCCTGAAGTTCAGCGACAGAGTGCTGCTGTCCACTCGTGGCAGACTGTCTTCTTGGTTTCTTGTCTTAATTTCTTTTCCCCACCACGTGCCCTTAATTCTCCAGAGGAGAGAGGCTGACTGAGTTATTCTGGTCAGTCATGGGTAGAACAGGCCGCCACTCCAGGCGGTGGTTTTTACCAAGTGCATTTTGCTTCTTTGGTGTCCATAGCAAATCCCTGAACCCAGCCCCAAGCCTTTTTGTGGAATAAGCAGGGGTGCAGAGCATGGGCCGTCATGGGGACAGCCACAGTGACCACCTACATGGTGCCATGGCTCTGCCATGGTGCCCAGAAGCCACATTGCATGAACTCGTGGGCTGTCGGGAACAAGTCTGATTCTGAAGAAAACAGTTTTTTTGGTTTTTGAGATTTTTAAATTTCTCCCTGCTTGCAAAGAAGGAATTTGGAGGCTCTAGACTTTTGTGTGTGTGCTTGGTTTTTTAATTAATTAATTAATTATTTTAATTAATTTATTTTATTTTATTTTACTTTTTTAAGAGACAGTCTCACTATGCTGCCTAGGCTTTTCTCAAACTCCTGGACTCAAGCGATCCTCCTGCCTCAGCCTCCCAAGTTGCTGGAATTAGAGGCATGAGCCACTGTGTCCGGGGTTATTTTGTTGTTTGTTTGGCTTTTTTTGATAGCAGTTGCTTAGGTCAAACCTATTTCCTGAAAAACAGAAAAGAGTTTTCTTCTCCTGTTATTTTATTTTACTTACAACAAATAGCACATATACTGCCACAAAAAAAAGTGAGGCAACTTTTGTCCACTCCATACAAACCTTAAATGCTCAACATACCTCTTAGCACTTGGCACAGGCCTGGGCACATAATCAGCTCTCAAAGTTAGATTGACAGCCCAGATGCCTCGAGAAGTCCCATCAGGACAGCAAGTTGCCCCATCATAAGACTAAACTCATTGAATTCCTTAACTACCCCCTCTTGGCCTCCTGGGGGAAAGTTACCATTACTCTTTTCAAGAGGCTGGCATCCAGGTGAAGTTTTTTGTTTTGTTTTGTCTTGTTTTTTAACTGGCTTGGCTATTTAAAAATCTGCAGAAAGATAGAAAAAAAATATTGCTATGGTTCCCAATCCCTCCCCCTACTTCTGTCTTCCTAAATCCATCCTATAAGGCCCACCTCCTCTGGGAAGCCTGCCCCAACCCCCAGGCTCTCCCCTCCCCTGACTGCTGTAGTAATAAGAATTGAGGCACCTAAGTAGTTCACGGTTTACAAAAGGACCTCCAAGGACCCAGCGTCATCTCAGCTTCATGTGTGTCCAAGGCAACAGGATCAGTTATACAGGTGAGGAAATTCAGCCAGGCTAAGTGATTTGTCAAGGTGTCACTTTTATGGAGTGGCCGAGTCTAAGCCCTGGACCCCCTGCTCCCAACTTGAAAGCCGGGGTGCAGTTCACAGAGGAAGAGCAGCAGGCTTCTTATTTCCCTCTCCCTTTGACGTATTGCATGTTTAAAATGTGAAGGGTTAACAGAACTGGAGAATGCAAAGGAAAATGTTGGGGAACAATTGGCTGTAATTACAGTCTGCAAAAGAGCCCCTCAACCACAGGGCGCCTAAAACCTGAAGCCCTTCTGAGCTGATTGTGCTGGGGGGGCCAGGCACCTACAAGCCCACTGATGACCCTGGCTTGCTGGGCAGCTGGAGGCCACCACAGGGTTCCGGGAGGAAATGACAGAGAAGGATGCAGCGTCTGGAAGTATAAAGAATGCTCCCTGCTCCCCACTGCAGCCTAGTGAAGACAGGGGTAGTGGGTGGGTTGCGGACTCTGGTGTCTCCCTCTGTCACCCGGTGACTGGGAGAGGTATTCCTGCCCACATGTGTGGCTGTCTTTGTGCACGGAACAGTGTGAGCTTTCCTAAGCAACCCTGAGACTCACAGTTAGGCCTCCTTGACATGGTCTACTCAAGGCTGGGGAGTGTGGTATGGGACTTTCTCCTCACTGTGGGGAACGTGGCTGAAGTTACATGTCACATTCTCTAGATTTGACATGAGTTCTTAGTTCCAGCCAAAAAAAAAAAAAAAAACCTGTTGACTTAATGCTTTTGTTTAAACTGAAAATTAATGGATGAAGAAGCTGATGTGACAAGCTGTCCCTTGGGAAGTAATAGGTGAACTTGACAAAGGAGGCAGGGAAATCAACAATTAGAAATATATAGTTGTCTGAGGTCTTTTAGTGAAGGACAAACAGTAGGTGGGGAGGAGGGTAGAGGAAACCAGAGCTTTTCATTATTTCTCTGTAAGGGGAAGGTTCCAGAGTGAGCACCTGGGTGTTGGGGAAAATCTGACTAGAAATGTGGGACTTCCTGCTGATGTGTCCCCTGAGGCCCCATGGCGTATTTCTGTTTCTCTCTCTCCCCTCTAGCCTGAGCAACAATATATATCTAGCAGGCGTTTAGAAAATACCTGTTGAAGGAATAACTAAATTAACCATTCTGTTAAATCTATTGTCTCTTTCTCTTGTCAGGCTCATAAAGATGTCGAGTCCATACATGAACAACCTTATCATCCTTGGAGGGATGCTCTCCTATGCTTCCATATTTCTCTTTGGCCTTGATGGATCCTTTGTCTCTGAAAAGACCTTTGAAACACTTTGCACCGTAAGTCATTCTGCATAAGCCAGTGGTATATGATAGAAAGTTTCCTTGGTGACCTCAGTCATCGAAAACACAGATGCAAACCCAGAAATACATGAAAATACATGAACAGGCAGGGAACAACCCATTTAGTAGTTTTCAACTCAACAGGGAAGAACGGTGTTACTGTCAGGCCATCACTGGGTATAAATACCACCTACAAAGTTAAGATAATGGACTTCCAGCCCGGGCAACATGGTGAAACCCTGTCTCTACAAAAAATACAAAAAAAAATTAGCCAGGCATGCTGGTGTACACCTGTAGTCCCATCTTCTCAGGAGGCTGAGGAGGGAGGATTGCTTGAGCCCAAAGATCAAGGTTGCAGTGAGTTGTGATCGCGTCACTGTGCCCCAGCCTGGGAAACAGAGAAAGACCCTGTCTCGGAAATAAAGATACTGGACTTACCAGGCCACTGTTAGAAGAGAGCCCACTGAGAATTGACAGAGTAACATAGAAAAGGAGGGGAAAAATATTATCTTCCAGAAAAGCATCAGCGCCAAGGGTCAGAGTCAGGGTCAGGATCGTTTAAGAAGGAACAGATCCTCCCATCTACCTCAAAAACCATCAAAGAATATGACGATAGATCTTTGTATGTCTGACTGAGTTATATGGTAAAAGCTATAATTGTTATTTTCTATTTAAGTGGTGTTTTCTTCAACGGTTTTTTCCTTATTGTTCCCCTAAGGAGCATTTTTAGACATTTTTTCCTAATGATTCCTCTTATGAAAGTTTAATACCAGAAATGTAATGTATATCTGTTTGTGTACTTTATATATATATCTATGGTTTATACGTAAAAAAGAGTAATGTTTCTTCACATTCAAGAACCAACAGTTGCCCCCAAGGGGGCTGTATCATCCCTATTGAGATATATATATATTTAATGAAGTCCAAAGCAGTGTAACTAATTTACTATACATTAGAAAGATTATTTTTAAAGTTAATTAACATGTTAAAAAGTTTAATGCCTAAAGAAATGCCTTTTATTTTTTTTTGTTTTTTGGGTTTTTTTGGAGACAGAGTTTCACTCTTGTTGCCCAGGCTGGAGTGCAATGGTATGATCTCAGCTCACTGCAACCTCCGCCTCCTGGGTTCAAGTGATTCTCCTGCCTCAGCCTCCTGAGTAGCTGGGACTACAGGCATGCACCACCATGCCCAGCTAATTTTATATTTTTAGTAGAGACGGGGTTTCTCCATGTTGGTCAGGATGGTCTCGAACTCCCGACCTCAGGTGATCTGCCTGCCTCGGCCTCCCTAGTTATTTTTTTAAAGGGGGTTATGTATTAGCAATCACTTAATAGTTTTATGGAACTAACTCTCAGTTGAAAATATCATGAACTTACTTTTTAAGAATAAAGTAATCAGTTGGGATGTATTTCTGGACATTGACTATGATCTGTCCAAATGGGGTTAGCCAGCTGGGTCTCTTTAGAGTCCCACATGCAGTAATTCATCCAGTCCCCTGCCTGGAAGACCAGAGCTAGAGGGGATGGTCAAAAGATCGGTGCTGAGTGGATTCATCCAAAAGCCACTCCTTTGTTGGTGCTGTTTTCTTTCAAGACGTTGAGAGCACTGTGGGCCCTTTTTTGCAAAGCAGCCTTTTTTAGACTGCATTTGTTGCTCACAAGCCTCAGTGTTGCCCACTGCTGGATGATGAGGGCTGAAGGCTAGCAGTGAGGGATGCTTAAACGAAGCACCCTTTAAATGTGCTGCAAGTCCCCACTCACACCCCAGATTTTGAGGACTGAGTCCAGGCCAGTCCCTCTGCTCTGGGACAGCACATGGAAAGAAGGGAAGCCCCCCAAGATCTTACAGTCTAGGGGATTTTGCTCCCAGGATTTCTGCGAATGATTAAACTGGACTGACTGTTACACATCATCGAGAAATTGTTCCTGTTACCAGTAACTTCACTGTGAGCTGTCTAGCCAGAGAGAGGTCTACAGATACATTTACTTTATCCTCAATTGGGCAGTGCCTTGAGAAGTGTGTGGTCGAGTCCCCAGTAACTGAGGGGGTAGTGAGGTCACTGGTGTGTTCAGGCCCCTCTCCTCTCCTGGAGGGACCTGCATGACTGTCAAACCCCAGTGCTCCAGGGTCACTTGGTTCACTCTTCCCACTCAAGAGTTTTTCACTCCAAGCCTGGCACTGGCTCATTCCCACCAAAAGATCAAAAGAGTATGGCCTTCTGGCATGAGACTAATTCCCATTATTCTGCCCGTCTGGGAGTGAAGAAGGTGAATACAAAAGATGCAAGTCCCTGGCTTCACTGTGCCTGCAGTCAGCTTCCAAAGAAGCTGAGCTTCTCAAAAGTCCTTGTGGGTGTGGTTCAGTGGGGTTGTTCTCTAAAGAGTATGGCCTCCTGGGGCAAGGTGCAGTGGCTCACACCTATAATCCCAGCACTTTGAGAGGCTGAGGCAGGCAGATCACCCGAGGTCAGGAGTTCAAGACCAGCCTGACCAACATGGAGAAACCCCATCTCTACTAAAAATACAAAATTAGCCGGGCATGGAGGCGCATGCCTGTAATCCCAGCTACTCAGGAGGCTGAGGGCAGGAGAATCGCTTGAACCTGGGAGGCAGGGGTTACAGTGAGCCGAGATCACGCCATGGCACCCCAGCCTGGGCCACAGGAGTGAAACTCCATCTCAAAAAAAAGAAAAAAACAAGGGTGGCCTTCTGGCATGAGAATGATAACCAAAGCGCATGGAAGTCTCGCTAGTTTTAGTGGAAGTGTGAAGGCCACTGAGTCTCTGATATTCCTACATCAGCATGACTTTTGTGCCCTGAGATGCCTAACAATTTCATGGGCATACAATTTATTTATGGTCAGCTTTCCTGGGCAGTGGTGAGGCCTGAATAAAAGGTTGCTCCTGAGGGACCCTGATGAAGTTAAACGAGGAAAGTGAGGATTTCTCTCTTCCATCTGTGCTTAGGCTTCCTCCCCAAGTTTTAGGACACAGTGATGATTACAGTAATGGAAATGGTACTGGGGCCGGGTGCAGTGGCTCATGCTTATAATCCCAGCACTTTGGGAGGCCGAGGCGGGTAGATCACCTGGAGCCAGGAGTTCAAGACCAACCTGGCCAACATGGCAAACCCCATCTCTACTTAAAAATACAAAAAATTAGCTGGGCGAGGTGGCGGGCGCCTGTAGTCCCAGCTACTCAGGAGGCTGAGGCAGGAGAATGGCGTGAACCTGGGAGGCGGAGCTTGCAGTGAGCCGAGATCGTGCCACTGCACTCCTGCCTGGGCGACAGAGCGAGACTCGGTCTCAAAAAAAAAGATACTGGGGGCAAGTTTGGCAACTCCAGTTTCTCAGTGGCATCCCTGAGAGGCAAGGGGCTTGCCTTGTTCCCCAGGTTGAGAACCGGTGGAGCAAAACCCTACCCTCATTCTGCCATGGCCCCAGTCCTTCCCGGGGGCCACTCTGCCCATCTCCTCATCACTTGCTGTTGGACACCTGGGAATGCCTCAGGTGTCCTGAGGCATTCAATCTTCACTGCAGAGATTCCTGCAGCAGACATGAAGGGCTGCCCAGCCTTTAGAAACTCTCTCCTTCCCAGAAAGAAGTTCCTGACATCTCGCCTTGTTCACAAGCCAAAGGCTATGAAAGCACAGGTGCTTTCTCAAGTTTGACCTGAATTCAACAACCACAGGGTGACGCAGGCTAGGGAGCAAAAACAGGGACATCCCCCACACCCAGGGCTTTTCTTTTTAATGAAGCCTGATGTTCTATTCTGGGAGTCACGCTCATTTGTGTGAGGGGAAGGTTGTCCTGGGAAGCCGGGGAAGGCTGATATGAATAAATCATAAAGCGCTTTACAAATCAGCATCGGCTCTGAAAATGAGGGCCCGAAAAGATATTAGGGCCCAGTTCTTGCTGCCCCTGAGAATTAATTTATTTGCAGTCAAGGCTGTTTTAGAAGCTCTACAAAGGGGAGTCCACATGCATGACTGTGGGGAAAAGGCATAGATTATCTACCCCGGACTGAATCGGGTCAGCACAGAGGTGTACATGGGTTAGGGCTGGGGCCATTTATTTACTAATTCTCAATATTGCCCAGGAAGAGGAAGTGAAAGCTCTTGAATTTAGGGCCTAAGTACCAGTGCCTGATGGGTACAATTTGGGTTGTATTCCACCTGCTATTCCAGGGTGGGCAGCTCCTTAATTTCACTTGGTGCCATGGATTCTGTCCTTCGGACCTAGAAGGCTGCTCCCAGCAAACTCCCACCGAGTGGGGAGCTGCAAGGAGAAGCAGGCCCCTATGGTGTAGTGATCACGGATCTTCCAACAACAGCCTGCATTCGACTGCCACCTCCTCCACTTACTAGCTCCTGACTGCAGCAAGTGACTTAACCTCAGTTTTCTCATCTGTAAAATGAGCATAACAGTTTTCCCTCTGCAGGATTGCAGTGTGGGTTAAACAAGACGATTCAGACAAGCCGCCTGGAACTCAGGGAGAGTGCTGCATGGAGGGATGTAGGAGGAGGGATAGGCATCACAGCTTGTCACCTTGCATCCTCGTCACAGTGTAATTTCCTGGTGTCCCACACTGGGTTCTGTAAATCTTAAAGGACAGGGGACAAGGTAGACCATGAGACCAGGTTCAGACATGGCGCAGCCGAAGTCACAGTTCTGTCTGCTCTGCTGCCATATACATGCCGCTTTTTTCTCCCTTTTAGTTTTCAAAATAGCAGCTTAACACAGTGAGAAACCATGAATACCCCCTCAGGCAGAAACCTATGACAGTCACAAGATTAGGCCTCTCTAGGGGCTACACCTCTGCTCGGACGAGGGTGGGTGCGTGTGTGAGTGCGTGCACACAGATTCACCCACACACAGTGCTACTCCTAGGGATGCAGTTTCTCTTAGTTCCCATCCCCCACTCCCTCTGACCCTTTCCAGAATCTTCCCAGACTGTCAGTGCCGGTTTCTCCAAGTCTTGAGAACAGCTCCAGCTATACCCCGTGCTGTCTCCCTGGACACTGTGCGGGTAGTGGAGTCACCATAGCAACGTGGCCCCTGTGGACGTGGAGCTGTCTGCAAGGACAGTGCTGGGCGTGGCCAGGGCCCCAGTGCCAGGGGGAAGGGATGGACCCCGGCAGCTGAGCTGACCCGGCTCTGGGATCCCAGCCCCTGTCTGCCCAGACAAGGAGTCCAGCAGGTGGGGATGAGAAAAAGCACTTGCCTTCCTTGTGGATCTGAGGCAGAAACCCCAGCTCGAGCGGGGGAGGAGTAAGAAGGGGCTTTGCAGACAGGATGAGGAGGCTCCAGGCGGACCTTAGATCCCAGCGTGGGCCTCACGCAGCTTCCTGGGCTCTCAGAAGCATTCCTGGGCGTGGGGTAGTAACAGCTTCCTGTTAACTCCCGAGCCTGTGCCCTCAGCCTCTGCGAGTCACCAAGGCCAGCTTTCAGCCAGGGGCAGCCTTTCGTTCACAACCACCTGACAAGGCCAAGTTCACTGTCCCCACCTGACGGAGCAGAAAACGGAAGCCCTGTCACACACTGCTAGGCAGCAGGGAAGAAGTTTAAAACTAGCTCTGTTGGACCACAAAGATGATTGAGATGTTTCATTAGAAAGCAAGACTATTCTGATTTTTTATTAGCTGGCTTATACCAGAAAAAAAAAAAAAGTCAACTAAGTTCTTAGGGATCTGGTAACCACCTATCCCAGCCAATATTACCAAAATTTTTGTCTCAGATTTTTTTAAATTAAGATATAATCCACATACCATAAATTTTGCCCTTTTAATGTGTACAATTCAGTGGCTTTTGTTTACCCTATTTAACATCTCTGAACCTTAGTTTCCTCTTCTGTAAAATGGGGATGATAATAATAGGGTTGTGAGGATTAAATGAGATCATGTATGTAAAGCATCTAGTGCCTGTCACACAGTAAGGCTTCATACATCTTAGCTGTTATCATTATGTATGAACGAATGATGGGACTATGTCTGGATAATTGTGTTCACCTCTGGATACCATTAAGAGAGACACTGATAAAGCAGAGTAAACTTGGGATAAAGAGGCTGGGAGGCCAGGTGCGGTGGCTCATGCCTGTAATCCCAGCACTTTGGGAAGCTGAGGCGGGTGGATCACCTAAGGTCAGGAGTTCGAGGCCAACCTGGCCAACATAGTAAAATCCCATCTCTACTAAAAATACAAAGATTAGCCAGGCATGGTGGCAGACGCCTATAGTCCCAGCTACTCAGGAGGCTGAGGCAGGAGAATCACTTGAACCTGGGAAGCAGAGGTTGCAGTGAGCCAAGATCGTGCCACTGTACTCTAGCCTGGGTGACAGAGGGAGACCCTGTCTCAAAAAAAGATAAAAAAGAAGAGGCTGGGAAAACCGGTTGATGCTGGCCAGCTTGGTGTAGGTACCCATGGCAACTTCTGGCCTTCTGTGGCCTTGCTCTACCAAAACTGGGGCGGGAACAGACTTGGGTCCTGCCTAAGTCAAAGCCAAGCTGGTGGTTGCCTCTGCCACCTTGAGTGCTGAAAGGGGCTTTGGGGCAGGCAGCAAGGGAGGTAAGAATGACACAGACGGGACCTCTGAGGATGCTGCGGCCATGTAGTGGTTGGAATCTGGCCTAAGAAGCCAGTTTGGCCCAGGGCTGCCCTGAGGGACGCTCAGAAGAGCGTGACTCAGCTTTAGCTCCCAGCTGCCTCTACTTGCTGACCACCCCAACTCTTTTATCTACTTTTCTACTTAAAAAAAGTATGTATATTATAAGTGTGGCACTCAGTGAATTTTCACAAACTGAACTCAACTGTGAATCCAGGATCCATATCAAGAAGCAGGACCTTATCAGCATCCCAGAGGCCCTCCCTGTCTCCTTCTGGTTCCTATCTGCCCCAACCCTCCTCCCCTTGCCAAAGGGTGGCCCCCATCCCAGCTCCTGCATGCACAGACAGTGCTACTCAGTGTGCACTGAGCCACCTGGGGGTCTGGATGGAATGCAGCGGGTCTAGAAGGGGGCCTCTGCATTCCTGACACACTCTCAGGGGATGCTGATGCCACATCCCCAGACCGCACTTGGAAGAGCAGGGATAAGATTAGTACCTGATGCTTTATTTTTGTGTTTGTCTCTTGGAGACTGATTGTGTAAGATAAATGGGAGCACCAGAAGCCTGGTCTCCTGGGGCCCAGCTGTGGGAGGGAAGGAGCTCCTGGGCTGGAAGACACTGGATTGTGGCCCCCACCCTCGAACCTCGGGAAGCAGGGCGGTTCCATCACAGCTGGCAGGGTGGGGTTCGAGTCCCGAAGCACCCCTTCGGCCTCTTCACTCTGCTCAGATGGATGGCAGCTAGGCAGGGGTGGGGCAGGGGAGGCCCAGACACTGGACTGGGGAGTGTGATGCCCTCTTCCTGCCCTCCTAGAGGTACTGGGATTTTCTAACTCTAACTAGAAAGGTAAAGGCTGCCTAGGAACACCCACTTGGCCTCCCAGTAAATTCAAGTCTGGTAGGAATTAATGAAACATTTTTAGTTAAAAGGCCATAAATCTGTGGTTTTGTTGTTGTTGTTGCATGGGGTTTTCTTTTTGAGGCAGTTGAGAAGTAAAACAATGTAATAATGTGGGTTTGGGGCTGTTTCTGCAGGTGGCTGTCATGGCTGGCCATGGTAACATGCTTTGTGATTTCAGAAGGCAGCAGGAAGGCTGGGCTAGGAGATACCCACAGGGTTTGGTGGTGGCCTTGCCTGGCAGGTCCAGACCAGCTCAAGGAGAGGGTCACAGGGACTGGCTGTCACAGGGCCTGATTGGGCCAACTGGAGTCCTGGATGGGGTACAGATGCCCGCTTGATGACAGTGGCCTCCCCACCCCCAACTCCCTTCCAGAGGAGGGGGCTGAGTGGGGAACCAGGGACTCCCCAGACTCCTGAGCCAATAAGCAGATGATGGCCTCCCTTCCAGACACCCCACATGTGGGCCACTCCAACCCCTGGCTCTGCTCAGCACTCTTGTTCCCACAATTCATTCATTCATATGATAACATTCCCAGGCACCTGCTAGGCACAGAGCATGGTCCTCGAGGAGCTGGCAGTGTAGATTGAAAACCTAAGTAAACAAACAGTTCCCATTTACTATGTTGTGTACACTGGCAGAGACAGGCCTAGGGGAGTGGGTAAGGCCCAGAAGCAAGGGACAAATCAGGGAAGACTTAAAATAAGGGACCCCTCTGAGTGAGCTCCAGTTATTTCTGGAAGTCCTAAATGATACACCATACTTGCCCACAGAATTCTCAACAGCTGCAATCACATGGTGTGGCCACTCAGTCCTTCCTCTCTGGCCCTGACGCCCACTTGTCCACGTCTTCTGTCCACAGAGCTGTATGAAGGCACACAGCAGCCCCCTCCCCACCACACCCCACCCCCTCCTGCCACTACCCATCTGAGAATGCTGCGTTTCCAAAAAGCTCCCCAACCTCCAGTCCTGAGGCACCTTCTGGGGTTGTGGGGGAACAGGAAGAAAGGCCTCTTGCTCATTCTGCATTGTTCTGTGGCCTGAGCCAAGGCTGCCAAGGGCAGTTGTGCACTTTCTGCACTACACAAGGGTGTTGGCTTCAGGGGCAGGAGCTGAATTTCGGCCTGTGATCGGGTCTTTGAGCCAAGTTCTTGGAGTTTGTTGGCTTCAAGGGCCTTGAGGAGTGGAGTCCTTCAGAAAGGGCCCAGACGGGGTGCCTTTCAGAAATTTCTCCTCCCAGAGGAGAAACCTCTCTCTGATTTGCCCCAAGGCTTCTAAGATGGCCCCTAGGCCCTGACTCGGGTTCCAAAGTACTCCTGTGGGTCCTGAGTCACCTTTGCCCCCTGCACCGTTCCCCCAGAAAGGCTCTGCTGTACTCTAAGCTCCAGAGAAGATTTTCTATACAGGTCTTACCCAGAAGACCCTGAGCAAGACGGGGTCTTCTGGGGCTGTTTCTAGAGGCTGCTCTTCAGAGTCTTATAACTTGAGGATTTATCTGTCGCCCTTGCCCTAGAAGACAAGATGGGCCCTGGAGACCTCAGGCCTCTCAGCTTCCCCACCTCATACCTCACAGTGCTCTGGGGCTTGCTTTGGGGCGCTCTGGGAGTTTCTTCCCTCCTTCTCACTATTGAGCACCTAGGATGAGCAGTCAGAATGAAGTAAAAGGCCCTTGAGAGAACCTTTTGGACAGCAGGAAAGTGACTTGCCCCTGTGTCCAGCCAGCCACCAGGGCTTGCTCTTCCATCTGACTTGCTGGCCTGAAGCCCACATGAATCTGTGGCAACAAGGAGACCCGGAGCACAGCAGTCCCATGCGTCATCTGTCAGAACAGGCCTGCCAGCAGAGGTTGTATGTCCATTTTCATGTTGATCCCCAGAAGGGCAGTGAAAGCCCTTCACCCTCCCAGGCATGCTTCATGAAATCAATGGAGCAAGCGGCTGAGCAGAATTGTTCTGGGCATAGATTTTTCCTTCCATTTGGAGACTTGCTCTCATTTCTTTTTCCTTTTTCATAGCTGGGACTGAGATGGGCACTACCTGCCTAAAGTTTGTCTTCCCCCATGGATGGATTATGTTCAAGGCAGTTCGCAGAGGGGGCTGAGTACCTGATGGCTAAGGGGAGAAAAAGAAAGATGTTAAATCAGAAAAATAAACACACGTAAGACTTTAGGAGAAAAAGTGAAGTAGCTATTTGGTGTTGACGAACCAGTAGAGACTTGTATTGGTGGTAACATATTGGAAAACAGAATCATTAGAACCCTTCAGATGAAACCTTCTCGTTTACTTGGCATCATAGAGCCACATAGAAGGGAGGCACCTGGGATGTCATTAAATGAAACCTCCCTCAGTGCAGGAAATGCCCCTGGAGCATTCTGATGGAGGGGGAGAAGGGGGGGAGTCTTCCAAGCTTTGCTTGAATATGTGGAGTGATGGGGAGCTCACTACCTGTCAGACAGCATGTGGAAGGGGCAGCTGAGGCCATGAACTCAGCCTCTTTTGCTATCAAATGCTCCAGTTCTCTCTGTGGTCTTCCTTTAATTTGCTTGCTCAGGCTCAACTTGCACATCTGTGGTGACAAAGAGTTCATGACCTCCTAAACTGGCCCATCCAGTCTGATTGTCTCCTCTTGGCTCCAGAGATTTAAAGGTGGGCAAAGCAGGCCCTGCCTCCCAGTAGCTTCATCTAGTGGGAGAGGCAGACAGGTAATCAGATAGATGTCATCTCTGTGTGACCAGCAGAGCAGAAACATGCTTGAAGGCAGAAGTCATGAGGAGGAAGTAGTCATGACCTCCCTGCAAGGTCTCAGTGGGCTTCTCAGAGGAAGTGGCTCACAAGTTTGGATTTCAGAGGATGCATGAGAAGTTGTGAAGAACAAGGAATGGCATTTTGGGTGGAGGAAACAGCGCGTGTCAGACCCGGCAGCATGAGCCAGTGTGATGTGAGGGGAAAGACTGAGCAGGGCAGGATGGTTTGAGAAATATCAGAAGAGGTAAGGTAGAGGGGGCTGCACCCTGCCTGCTAAGAATTTGGAGTTTAACCTGAGGGCTCTGTGGGGCAGCGATGGGTTTAAATCCCAGAAACTTAAGCTGGAGTAACACTTAATATGGGGACTCACTGTGGAGCCCTGGCAGTAGGTGTCTGGTGATTGTATGCAGGAATGCTCCCAGAGACAAGGTGGTTGGTCAGTTCTCTACACCAGACAGCAATGGGATGCAGCATTGAGAGTCTCCAAGACAACCCCCAAGTTCAATGATTCACTAGGACTCTCAGGGCTCAGCACACAGTCATACTCGCAGCTATGACTTATTACACTGAAAGAATACACAGCAATATCAGCAAAGGAAAAGGCACGTGGGGAGGCAAAGTCCAGGGGAAACCAGGTGGCAGCTTCTGATAGCCCTATCACAGCGGAGGAGCACAGGACACGCTTAAGTCCCCCAGCAATGAGTAGCGACCACATGTGTGAAATGCTGCCTAGGGAAGCACATTAGAGATGACACGCCCAGGGTTTTTAGTCGGAGGATGGATATGTCGACACCGTCTGCCTACTATGTAACAAAATTCCAGACTCCCAGAAGGAAGGCAGTGTTCAGCATAAACCACGTTGTTTGCACAACCAGTTCAGGCACAGTGAGCTGCTCTTATCATTGAGGGGATGGTGGGAACTGTCCAGAATCCAAGCTCTCAGATACCAGCCAAGGACCAACCTTCAAATCAGACCTTTCTAAAGATAACAGTCTCAGGCCTGCTATGTTAACTCTTTTCTGCCCAGGCATCCTCAGCTATTCTTCGCTTTTAGTTTATGGCAACATATTGCAGTTTCCAGATGCCAGATTAAATTTATATTATTGAATTTTAACTAACTTGACTAATTATATGATTGAGTGAATTTAGCCCTCACAAAATAGACAAGTGGCCTGGAAATGATTGTTTCAAAGAAAACCTAAGTCAAAGCAAATATTAAGAATGCTTGCACACCAAGGCCAGGTGCAGTGGCTCTTGCCTGTACTCCCAACATTTTGAGAGGCCGAGGCAGGAGGATCACTTGAGTTCAGGGGTTCAAGACCAGCCTGGGCAATATAGCAAGATTTCGTCTCTACTAAAAATCAAAAAAATTAGCTGGGCATGGTGGTGCATGCCTGCAGTCCCAGATACTCAGGAGACTGAGGTGGGAGGATTGTTTGAGCTCTGGAGATGGAGGCTGAAATGAGCTGTGATTGTACCACTGTACTCCAGCCTGAGGGACAGAGCAAGATCTCATCTCAAAAAAAAAAAAAAAAAAAAAAAAGGAATGCTTTGCACACTGGAGTGACACATCTCCTCAAAATAGATCTTTGTCAGCCACAGGATGAGGTAAAAATGATGATATTACTTCATCTTTGTCCTTTTTAAAATGCCCATGGTCTGTATATGGTCATTTGTAAAATTAAACATGTTCAAGAGAATGTTATCAAAAATGCTGTAGACCATTGGTCTTAACAGTCATGTCACTAAATTAGCTTTACAAGTGTGCTGAGGTCCCTGGAGGGTGTTACAGGTTGGTCAGCTACCCCCTCTGGGTGTGTCCTGGTCCTTTGACATCCGGCTCCTAGGTGTAGATGAACCTGATTTGAGTTGAGGAGACTCCATCTGAGGAGGAGGCAGCAGCAGGATGTCGGGGAGAGAGGCCTGGACCGGGTCAAAGCATCGAGTTCCAGGCTTAGCTCTGGAGCTGTGTGGCATGGTTAAGGGAACTATCTTGAATGCGCTGGGCCTCAGTTTCTTCACCTGTTAAGGGAGTTCCTCACTTAACTGATACCTCCAAAAAATCACCCTGGTGTCTGTTATTGTTGTTGTTATTTCTTTTTATTGTTGTATACTTTGCCTCTGTCCTAATAATACTTGTTGAAGATGAACAAATGAACAAACAAACGAATGAGTGAATGAATGAGATGAACTGTCAAGTCCCATGCATCTCTGACAGATGACAAATGTATTATCTGTTCATTGAATATGCTCAGGTCTAAATTCTCTATCATTGGCTCTTTCCCCCTCCCTGTTTTGTATATTTTTCTCACATCCTTTTATGATCATCTGGGTAATAATGTGGCCATTCTACATTCTTTCTAAAGCACTGTGGTTCATTTTTACCCATCTGATTTCTCCTTGTTTGTGAAATTAAAAAAAAAGAAAAAGAAAAAGAAAAAGAAAATAGAAGGCTAAGCACCCACCTGTACCCTCACAGCATTCATGGTTCACAGGCCTGTGTTTCTGAACAAGCGCTGTGATACTGTTGTCCTTCCCTTGATTTAGTGGGTCAGCCTTGCAATCTAAAAATAGTTCCTATTTTTACAAATAAAATTGAAACGCAAAATGTTCTGTCTCTGAAAACCTGGAGAGTCAAGTTGCCGGAAAGGCAGGAGCAGAATGAATCTGTAAGGGGAATGGGCTGGGAACATTTCTTGGAAACTTCCTACATGTGTTGGTGGCAGCCAGCCCTGAACTAGAAGGGGCCTGGGGAAGCCAAGCAAAGCTACTGTGCTCAGTTCCTCTGGATGCAGAGGGCCTGAGCTGTCTGCTGCAGCCTGGCTGCCTCTCTTTTTCCCCTACCACATCCAACTTTCTGCCTTGTGTTCAGCCAAGGCAGGTTGGAACCTTTCAAAGGAAACTAAGCTCAACAGAGCTGAGGGAGAGCAAAGACCCAAGCTCAGA
Source organism: Homo sapiens (assembly GCF_000001405.40). Lineage (NCBI taxonomy): Eukaryota > Metazoa > Chordata > Mammalia > Primates > Hominidae > Homo > Homo sapiens. The sequence goes on along the minus strand of NC_000009.12, from coordinate 98,372,448 downwards.
GCTGCAACTCATGGGGCACGTGGCTTTTCTGTCCCAGTGAGTGGGAGGCCCCAGAACTCAGTGGTGCACAGCCCAGGGCTGGACCATGATGTGGGGCCCACCTGGAGATGTGCACGTCTCCTGGGTATTAGAGGGTGTCCAGTCTAAATGGTGAGGGTTGGGGGGTCTGGGAGTGATACAGTACAGGTGAAGGTGGGCGTCCTGGAGGCCCCTAAGACCTAACAGGTGGTGGCCAGCCTGTTCCAGCCTTCAGGGATCCAAGTTGTAGGCTCCTGTCAGGGCCGGCTGTTCCCATTAGCCACCAACCCAGGGCTAGGCGTCAGGGCACACCTTGGTCCTGGGGAATAGGTGAGAGCCAGACAGGGCCTCAGTCCTGAGCAG